>NT_187630.1:0-263666 GCF_000001405.40 Homo sapiens | reverse complement strand
GATCCTCCTGCCTGAGCCTTCTGTGTAGCTAGCCATTTCTGCTTGAGTGTTCTGTTCTGCTGTCATTTAATATGACCTGAGGTCATTTATAAAGATTTTACCTTATTTTAAAAACCTTGCAGGTGGGATGTTGAAATTTTGCAATAATTGATAACACTATTACCTTATTATTAATGGAAACTGAGGTTTTTTTTCCTAGTTTTTCACTAAGGCAAACAACACTGTTTTGAAAATCTTCGCACATGCTTCTTTGTCTAGATAGAGATGTGAAGTTACAGGAAGGTATATGCATTCAATATTTTGATAGTACTGCCAAATTACTTTCCATAACAGCATCCCAATATACTTATATTCCTACTATTAGGTGTGAGAGTATCTATTGACTCATCTTTTTGCCTATTCATGGTGTTTTCATTTTTGCTAATCTCATATGTAAAACATGGTATCTCAAATCTAAAAGAATGTTCGTAGGCAGCATGGTGTGAGCACAAAAACCATTAAGTGGAAACAATTCAATTATCCATTAACAGGAAAATAGGACAGATAAGTAATTTATTTGACATGTTTATAGTTTATAAGAGAATACTAAATGGCAATCATAGTAAAATACAGTTATGTGCCCTAGTGGAGGTGAATCTTACATAGTATTGAGCAAAAATGCCAAATTACTGAAGAATACCTGCAATAGGATCCATGCCTGTAAAATTCAAAATCACGCAAAATTAATGCATTTGTAAGAGACAGATATATACAGGGAGGGCTTGAGAGTTCCAAATAGCCTTATCTGAGAGGTAGGAAATAAAGAAGAGTGCTAAGGCAGGTGGAGGAGTAAATCCATTTCCTCTGACACATCTCTGTGCAACCTGTTATGACCAACTTTTCTATTGAAGTTTTTGACAATACTGGCTTATACGAATGTGATCTTTTCCTTATATTTTTTTCATTGTTGAACTCCAGGATTTTATGGAATATGGTTCATATGTGGGATGTCCTCTGGGAGTGATGAATTTCTGTTAATATGCTTTTGGGGTTTTTGATTACTTTCTTAATCAGATAATCCCCTTCTCAGACAATCATGAAATGTTTATTGTAAGGGAATAATATGGAATCATTAGTAGGGATGAGAACCTGGAAAAATGGAAAGAACAGGGGTTTGTAGTCCAGCAGACACAGGTTGGCAGTTTGAATTTCCCATTCAATATCTATGTGTTATTGGGCCAGTTACTTACCTTCTTTCAGTTAGTTTCCCCAGTGATAGGAAATATATTTTTGTATACTGCTATATTATCTCATTCTTTTTGCCTCTATCTCTTCCTCTTTTCCACCATCCTGGAACTGTACTGATTAGGTGCTTAATAACTGGGGGGTTATCATCATCATTGTTAAAATTTGTAGAGAATGGTGTGTGGAAGTAAATTTATAGAATCCAGAACAAACAAAAGGCACTTGTGCATTTCGGAAAGAGCCTTGTTCTTTTGTTAAAATCTAAACTGCATGTCTCCCCTATAAAAATCAGTATGAAAAATAGCCAACATTGCCTATAACTATTATTATTTTTAAATAACAGATTTAATGAGATATAATTCACAGACCATAAATCTCGCATTTATGAAGTGCTTTTAGTGTTTCAGTGGTTTTTAATATAATAATGGATGTGTGCATCCATCACTAAAATCTAACTCCAGAACATTGTCATCTCCCTCCAGATAAACCTGGTAGCCGTTAGCAGTCACTGCTCATTTCTTCCCGCTAGTCCCTGGAACCACTAATTTATATTCTGCCTCTATGAATAATCTGCCTATTCTTGATATTTCATACAAATCAAATTATATAATTTGTGGCCTTTTGTGTCTGTTTTCAAGCATGGTGTTTTCAGTATTCATCTGTGTTGTATCTGTACTTTATTTTTAAAATTACTGAATAATATTCCACTATGGATGTACCATACTTCATTTATCCATTCATCAATCGACGGACATTTTGGTTTTTTTCTGCTGTTTGGTTATTATGAAATAATGCTGCTATGAACATTCATGTATATTATTTTGTGTGGACATATGTTTTCAGTTTTCTTAGTTACATACCCAGGTGTGGAATTGCTGGGTCATATAACTCTATGTTTAATAGAAGGACTATCCAACTGTTTCCAGAGCAGCTATACCATTTTACATTCCCACCCGCAGTGTAGAAGAATTCTGATTTCTCCATGTCTTTGACAATACTTATTGTTGTCTGGCATTTTGTTTATAACCATTCTGATGAGTGTGAGTTTTATCTCAATGTGGTTTTGATTTGCATAATGACTTATGATGTTGAGCATCTCTTCATGTACTTACTGGCCATTTGCACATCTCTTTTGCAGAACTGTCTGAATTCCTACACATTTTCTGGTTATTTAGCTCCATTTATTTATTACACATTCTTTTGGGTGTCTACATGTGTTAGATACTGTGCTAGATCTCAGGGAAACCATGATGAACAAGACACAGGGTCTCTGCAGTAAGCTTAAGTTGTCTTCAGACTTCCATGCTTTTGACTATCAAATATCTGAATATAGTCAACCTACCAATTAGTGGAAAGTTTACTCTATTGTTATATTCAAAAGTCCTATCAATGAAAATTTCTTTTACGCTGTTCTGCTAGTAGGAATGAAAGTACAGTGAATGGAAGAAGAGGATGAATATCTAAGTAGCAATGTTGAGCACTTTGAAAATTACAAAAGCAATGTATGTTCTCATTTACTCCTTCGTGTGCACGTGCATCTTCCCTCATTTAAAAGTTCCCTTGAAAGCAAGGGCCTTATTTTTAATTCATCTTTTTTTACTCCATCAGTCGACTAACAGTGCTTGGAAAATATTAATATTAGTATATATTAACTGAATGATTGAATGGGTCAAGTAAGCTGGAAATGAGTGTTCATGTTATATGACCTTATACTAAATTAGGGTTTGCATGGCTTTTATTAGCTATCATCCTTGCCCTCAAGGATCTTGACTTAGTGGTTTAAAGTGAAAATGAGACAGATACTCAACATGATATACCTTTAAAAAATAAGGTTAATTAGAATCATAAGTAACATAAAAAGTAAGCTGCACAAGTAAGCTAAGTAAATATTAAATATTAGGAGGAGTCACTTGAGTCCATAGGATGATATAGAGTAGTAGAGGAAGTCTTGAACAGAGGTCAGATTTCATCCAGATTTCAAAGAACTGAGGGGATAAAACAAAAAATAAATAAATAAAAAAGTAAAAACTGAGGGGAAACAGGCTGATAGAGACGAAGACCTAAAACTTTTCTGGGTTAAGAGGCAGTTCTCAGCAGGGTTGGTACTTGTCCCCTTTCCATCCAGGGGACATTTGGAAATAAACCAACAAGTTTTTGGTTATCCTAGTGTTTAGGGGTGCTAACGGCTTAGTGTGAGTTGGGGCTGGGGATGCTGAAGTCCCACAGTGTATGATGAAGTTAGGAATTAACTCTGACCCCAGTCGCAGTAGCACCCTGCCTAAGATATACTGGAAAGGAAACAGATTTAGCTGCATAAGGAAGAAATAGTTTTTATGAATAGTGCTCCTAAGCAAATACTGTTTTTTGTTTTTGCCAGTGTAGAGGCTTAACGAGGAGATATATACACTTAGGTAGGGTGGAATACAGTTAATGGAACATTTTAGGAACCAGGGCAGGAATTTATATTTGATCAGTTTGGATGATTTTGATTATGCCTAACATTTTCTTTCATCTCATGGTTTGATATTTTTCTTGTCTTTCTCATAGAACGAGCCTCTGACTCCAGGTTATCATGGATTCCCAGCGCGGGACAGCCAGGTTGGTATCTGCTGTTTGTAACTCAGATGATGTATGTGTGTGGTGTGTTTCATCAAAGGGTTGCTATGATAGAGAGCATTTCCTGAAATTACTTACTTTGAAAGGAAATGTGGCTTGTTTCAGCAGTGAATTTACTTTTACAGATGTAAATTAAGCATATTTTTAAATTCTATAAGTATTATGTTATTAAAATTGTGGATATTAGAAGAGAAAATAATCACTCAAGCACAGTCATGATTGGTTTTGTATTTTCTTCTCCAGGCTACATAATAATTTTTTGACCTGGTTTTCTTGATGCCTTATAATTCTGAATGCTGGACTTGTCTCTTTATTACCTGCCAGTTAGCCCCTGCCTGCACAGAGTTTTTGAGTCCTTGTAATGATCTGTAGCAAGAAAATTCCATTCTCCTCCCTGGGGGAATTCAGCCTTATGGTTTTAATCAGGGAAAGCTTGCCTGAGAAAGCAAAGTTTCTGCCACCTTTCTTTGTTAGATGGGAGGATGACTGGAAAAGCCCAGGCCCTATTATGG
This sequence comes from Homo sapiens, assembly GCF_000001405.40. Classification (NCBI taxonomy): domain Eukaryota; kingdom Metazoa; phylum Chordata; class Mammalia; order Primates; family Hominidae; genus Homo; species Homo sapiens. The sequence goes on along the minus strand of NT_187630.1, from coordinate 259,314 downwards.
GTCAGAGCAGAATTGCTTCCTACGAGACACCCTCAGTATGGTTTAGGCAAGTGTGTAAAATGCCTTCCCTATCTTTTTGTTGTTTGAATACTTGAGCCCATGACGTTGAAACAGAGTTAGGATAGAAGAACAGGTAAGGCTTCCTCTTAGAGAAATGGTGTGGCTTAAATCACCTCGCCTCTGAAAGAAATTTGTATCTTTGATGTTTGGGGATATTGACGTTCTTCAGGAGATTTGAAAGGGTAGCTCCTAGAAATATCTTGGAATGCCATTATTCCTTACAGGGTTGTCAAAAAAAGCTACCATTGTTATACTTGTCCAGGAGATATGAGTTACAGTGCTAAACGAAAGAGTTCATAGTGTCCTTTCCAGAAGTTCATTGAATCTCATCAGAGCTCCTGAAGTGGATCTTAAAAACTAGGATGGTCGGCTGGGTGCGGTGGCTCATGCCTGTAATCCCAGTACTTTGGGAGGCCAAGGTGGGTGGATCATGAGGTCAGGAGTTTGAGACCAGCCTGGCCAACATAGTGAAACCCCGGCTCTACTAAAAATACAAAAATTAGCTGGGTGTGATGGTATGCAGTTGTAGTCCTGGCTACTCGGGAGGCTGAGGCAGGAGAATTGCTTGAACTGGGGAGGTAGAGGTTGCAGTGAGCTGAGACTACACCATTGCATTCCAGCCTGAGTGATAGAGCGAGACTTTGTCTCAAAAACAAAACATAAAACAAACAAAAACAACAACTACAAAAAAACAAAAACTAGGATGGTTGATAATCAATAGTCACCTATTTGCAGGCCTTTCAGATTTGAGAGTATTTGTCCAATTCTTGCACTTTTGGTGCTGAGTTGATATCAGAGTGGCCCCAGATAAGGCATCGGGAGAAGAAGTGTTGTTAGCTCTGTGTTCATCCCCTACTGAGTTCATCACTGTTGATATTGAAGATGGAAGCTTTTGGTAAAAGATAGGGCCATTTACCCTAAATCTAAAGAGAATGTAAAGATTTATTTGTTTTTCATTCTGGTTTGTGTCTGTCCTAGAGCTTCTCTAAGCTGGGAAACTTATGCCTTTGATAGTACTTTTATATCTTAGTCATATATCAGAAAAACATTCTCATACCTGGAGATCCACCCCACGGAGTTTCTGATTGGGTAAGTGTAAGATTGGGCTTACCCATTCAAATGTTTAAAAATCCCAAAGGTGATTCTGCTGTGTAGTGCGGTTGAGAACTACAGTCCTATGGGCTGCTTTAAAAGCAGTGACAGTTTCTGTTTCATCCTGTACTTTTCACTTAGGACATGTAATAAAGGGGTCGTGGTTAGTCTCTTAATCTAGTCTTGCAAACTAATGCAGTTACTTTATTATTTATAAAATGTTGCTTATTGTGGATTTAGGAAGGTAAAGCTAATTGATGTAAAGTATGGAAATAGACTTACTGAGTTTAGAAGACTGAAAGGGTACTGTATTCTTCTTGTGGGGATTATAGATCAATAAGGAGCTAAGCAAAAGGAGTTAATAGGAATTTATTAAAGCCTAAAAAAGTAGTCTCTTTGATTGTACCTACTTTTTCTTTCTTTTGCAGTAGGGGCCCACTTCTGTAACCTGCACATTCATTACTCATGCTGTCTCTGCTGCAGGCCTGTTACAGACCCTTTGCCATGGTTTAAAGCTGCTGATTTACTTTGAGGCACATTCTGATGGTGACAGGTTTATTTTAGTTTATTTTCTTGGGCTTTAATTTGTACTCTGGTTGGATCTTTGAATTAGAGATCTTAGAGTGTGCAAATAGGCAAATATTGAATAGCTGCTTGTTGTATTTGATGAATACAGAATCCAAATGAGTACTGCTAATTAATGCGCCTAACCTTGTGAACTCTCACTTTGCGTTTTGAGATTTGGGAGGCATTTATCAGCGTGAAACACTGGTCGCTGAACAGTCTGAGCTGGCGGAAATGGAACTTGTGATCTTTACGTCTCCTCAGCATGGTTTTGGCTCAGCAAATCGAGGAACTGGGGAATGGGGTGAAGGTGAATTTTAATTGTGCTTTTGTTTGCTTTCCCTTTTTTTTTTTTTTTTTTTTGTTGTTGTTGGTTTGGTTTGGTTTTTGAGACAGGGTCTTGCTCTGTCACCCATACTGGAGTGCAGTGGCATGAACATGGCTCACTGCAGCCTTGACCCCTGGGGTGCAAGTGATTCTCCCACCTCAGCCTCCTGAGTAGCTGGGACCACAGGTGTGTGCCACCACACCCGGCCTGTTTGCTTTCCTTATTCTTTCACTGTTCCTTCCTAAATAGATGAGAACCATCTGCAGACAAGATTCTTATCAGTGGCTGAATGGTGATTTAAAAAGAGATAACTCTTTTGATTGTTTTGGACCACTTTCATTGTATTTTCTCATCTTATTCTCCCAAACACCCCTTTTGAAGTAGATGAGGCAAATATTCCCTCTGGAAAGATGAGGAAATTGAAGCACACAGAGGTAAAGTGACTTATCCAAGGCAACAATTCAAGTAAGTAGCTAAATAAGAGCTGAAATTTCCCCTTCTGTCTGAGGGTCCTTTTCTCTGTACTGGAGAATTATTGATTGACCATAGGAAAATGTGGTCACGTGTGAATGTGCCCATTCACTCATTTACATTATTTTATTTACCATGTGGGGGCTTCGTAGACTTCTTCAAGCTCAACCACAGATGTAGAAGTCTGTGACTCCTGATTAAAGATTATTACTACTAAGTTTGTTAGCACCAAGTGTACCACCAGCATTTCACTTTTTTAGTGATTCTTTTGTCATGTTATATACAGTCCCAATAGCACATTGGAGTTAAACACCTGAAGGAAAGGAGCAGGGAAAACCACCCGCCACCTCTTGCATGTTTATGCAAGGTCACCTCAGCCTTCTTTCTTGATCTATTAAGAAGCTTTATGGGATGACAATCCATTGCTTTTATAAAGCACTCTGAGCATTTCACTATACTTTCTAATGTGGTTTCTCTATGGAAGTGGAGGAGACAAACATTGTTCCAGTTTTACATAAGTGAAAACTAGTTCAGAAAAGTGAGAAATTTTATCTAAGGCCATGCAGGACCAAGTGCAGTGGCTTACATCTATAATCCCAGCACTTTGGGAGGCCAAGGCAGGAGGATTGTTTGAGCTCAGGAGTTGGAGACCAGCCTGGGCAACATAGCAAGACCTTGTCTCTACTAAAAATAAAAAAAATCAGCCGGGTGTAGTGGTGTGTGCCTGTAGTCCCAGCTACTCGGGAGGCTGAGGTGGGAGGATTGCTGGAACCTGGGAGATTGAGGCTGTGGTGAGCTATGATTGTGCCACTGCGCTCCAGCCTGGGTGACAGAACAAGACCCTGTCTCAAAAATAAATGAATAAATAAACCCAGGCAGGATTTTAGATTGATGATACAATGTAGTGGTTTAGATTCCTAGTTGACTGTTTGTGATTTGTGCATGTGCTTAGGCGTGTTCCCAGGCCTTGATTAAGGCTAGAATGTTTTATGGATTTGCAGTATTTTTAAAGTGGGAGAATACTTATGTGCATCAGCTCTAGGGTTTTTATATAAGAAGAGCTTAAGAGCAGCAATCTGATTAGAAGAGGGCCTTGTTCTGCACAGCAGCCTTACTGTTTTTGCGAAGATTATTTATATGGGATGGCTCTTAGGGGTTTCCTAGAAAGTGATGGGGGTCCTAAGGCTCCTAAGGCTGGCCCCTCGCTCGCTTTTGGTGCAACAACTTTATGTCTGTTATAAATAAGGTGACCATATAAACTTTAGCATTCAAGTTGGGGCACTTTTGAGAATAAAAAGTGATGCCAATAATTAGTTTCAAACAGTCCCAGGTAAACTGGGATGTATGGCCATCCTTCTCTAATTGAAGAAATACAGTCAGTGTTTTCTTAACCAAAGTGATCAGAACTAGTAGGCCGTGGGTTAATCTAAACAATTGGTTGAAGTGGGGAAATATTTTAAACTTTTATTTTAATATAGAGCATTTTTAATTTAAACAAATATATGCTTACTCTTTAGTTTCCTGATATGAGGTCAAGATCCTTATATATAGATGTGATTGAAATACTACTTGAATTTTTTGCATAAACTGTGCTCCCAGAGCATCATCTGTGAGTTCTAATTTGTTTTTTTTTTTAAAGAGGAACACGGTCTTGATGACATTCAGAGCAATTTGGGTGAAACTGTCTATCTAGATTTGTATGGTTTTCCCTTCTTGCCCGGTCTTTTACAGTTATCCTGCCCACATCTAATTTGAGCCTAAGTTTTCAGTGTCTTGACTTATTTTTCACAAAGCATTCACATTAGTTATTTTCAAGGAAATTTTCTAATTTATTTCATTGATGTGTGTATATATATATATATATATATATATATAACATTTAATTATATAATTATAAGAACTTACGACTTCTATAAACTGGCAGGTGAATAAACACAAGTGATTTTTGGTAAGCATACAACTCAGCTACTGGGAGAAGAAAGGGCTTGGGGGCAAATAGGAGAGAGTTGTTTACTAGTTTTAGGTGGTTTAAGACTGTTAAAAGCGTCCCTTTATTAGACTTGGGAACTGGAGAACATTAGTTAATTTAACAAGTTAATTGATTAAAAGAGGCTTATACTTTAATCAACCACAGGGAAGACTTACTTTTGTTTCATCAATTTTGTATCTCCTTAGTGGTTACTTGACTAAATTTTGTTCTATTGTTTTAGAGTCAACTCGGTTTGGGGGATGGGTAGGGAAGAGGATTAGAACAGATACACACAAACTAGAGATAATTTGTTTTGCTTCATTGGGGTGGCCTAACCAAGTAAGGGATGTTCAGCAGTGGGATACTTGCAAAACTAAGTGTTGAAAGCTTTCATTATTTCATCATTAAAAATTATTTAAGCTGTAGTGTACTATTTTGTTTATTAATTGATGAATACAAATGTATATATTTGTGGTACACAAAAAACCCAACTAATATCTGCTAACTGCTTTACAGTTTACAAAACCCTCCTGTGTATATCCACTTTTGATCTTCACAATAGTTCAGCTAGGTGGCTTGGGCTTTATTATCCCAATTTTATAGATAAAAGAATACCAAAGCACAGAGACTGTCAAATGAATCTCCCAGTCTTAGTTATATAGGTAGTAAGTAAAGAATTGGACTTGAACCCCGATTTTCAGCCTCCATGTCTTGTATTTCCCTTTTGTATTTGTCTGTCAGTGTCTCTCTGAATATAAGTGTTCTTTTGCTGGTGTGACAAGATAAGATATTCTGGAATCTTTGGAGAATGTGGGAGCATGAAGTCTTCATATGACTTGAAAGTTCTTGAGTAACTTATTTCTGTCAAGTTTTCTATCTTGTTTGTTAAAATAACTTATGATCTAAATTTTATCTTTTCATATTTTAAATACAAAGAAAAATGTCATGTTGTCAATTTTTTTGAGACTCTGTTGCCCAGGCTGGAATGAAGTGGCGCAATCTTGGCTCACTGCAACATTTGCCTCCCGGGTTCAAGTGATTCTTCTGCCTCAGCCTCCTGAGTAGCTGGGATTACAGACATGCGACACTAAGCCTGGCTAATTTTTGTATTTTTAGTAGAGACAGTGTTTTGCCATGTTGGCCAGGCTGATCTCAAACTTCTGACCTCAGGTGATCTGCTCACCTCAGCCTCCCAAAGTGCTGGAATTACAGATGTGAACCACCACGCGGGGCCCATTCTTTGATGTTTAAAATGCTTGTCAATGACTTCTCAAAACTATATTTTTTTCTTCAATTTTCTAAAATTCTGTTGAAAGACACAATGTCCCATTGATTAGCAGAAACAAGTGGGAACATCAAAGGAGATGCTTAAGTTGACAAATATAACATAGACAATTATAGATTTAAATTCAGAGTGGCAGCCTTACTTTTAATAAGAGGGTAAATTTAAAATGACCTAAGGGTTTCTTTTCTTAACAAGTATTTTCTTTCCTCAAGATTTTTTTTTTCTTTTTTCTAACCAGTTTTTTCATGGGTAGAAAATGAACTTTATTTTAGTCAAATTTTTGCAATGAACTTTCAAGGCTTTTTTTTTATTGGGAGCTGTGGACAACAGCAAATATATCTTCTGTAGTGCTCATTTGGCTTGATTGAAGAAATGATGACTACTTTTCTTCCCTCGGGGATAGTTGGTGGAATGGAGGACATGGTAAGTGTGTTCAGGTTCTAGCTTAGTGCTTTTGAGCTTAAAAAAAGACTGACCCCAAGGAGGCAGTTGCTTTTATGTCATGACCCAGTATACACACATACATATATGTTGACTATAACTTAGAATTAGTCTTACCAAATGCTGCCTATCTTAACCATGTTCTAAGTACTGTGATATTTTCTGTCCCCTTCAAAAAATTGTCGATTGTGACTAACGATTGACCAAAATTGATTTCTGCTGGATTTTTCCTGGACCCACTAATGGATTGCAACCTGTTTGAAAAACATTGTTCTAATACTTACATTCCTTAAAAATGCAACCTTAAAGAAACCTCATGCCTTTATTTTTTTGAGATGGAGTCTCACTTTGTCACCTAGGCTGGAGTGCAGTGGCATGATCTCTGCTCATTGCAACCTCCACCTCCCAGGCTCAAGTGGTCCTCCTACCTCAGCCTCCTGAGTAGCTGGGACCGCAGGTGTGCACCTCCATGCCCAGCTAGTTTTTGTATTTTTGGTAGAGATGGGGTTTCACCATGTTGCCCAGGTTGGTCTTGAACTCCTGAGTTCATGCGTTCCACCCGCCTCAACCTCCCAAAGTGCTGGGATTACAGCCGTAAGCTTCCATGCCGGGACACAAGAAACCCCATACCTTTTAGCAGTCACTCCCCTACTTTCCATCTCTCCACCCAAGCTCTAAGGCCCCCCAGCTGGAGACTGAATTAAAATGGTTCAGAAGTAAAACGTTACCCCTTCTGTATCTCGCAATCTATAATAATTTTCTTTCTGATCCTCTTTTTTTTTTTTTTTTTAACTAAACATGCTTTTGCTTTGCTCTTAAATTACAGGAAGTGTGAAATTGCTTTTTTTCCCCCCTGTTAGGTTGTCTAGAACCCCACTTTCAGCCTTTGTGCAAAGCTTTTTCAAACTGTTGCTTCTGTCCAACATCTGACCTCAGGTCACCCATCAATAGTTTAGGTCCTTCTGTGGTGTTGTCCTTACACCCTCTAGTGGATGAAGGTCTGGTATATGCTGTAGTGTCTAGTGTTCTTGTAGCACTTTTCTCAATCCATGTAATCAGCTTTACTATTACATTTTAGATCATTTCATTCTTCAAACAGTTAAAAATCTTTTCACTCCAGGAAAGACTGTTTTATTTCTTCTGCTGCTCACTGCCATGCTAAGTAATATGCTTATTCTGCTGTTTCATGATTTGTCCAAATTTTGGCACTATTCTTTGGCTTCCTACTGTTGAAGATGAGAAATTAGCAATTTTATTTTATTTTATTTTTATTTTTTGAGACAAGGTCTTGTTGTGTTGCCCAGGCAGGAGTGCAGGTGTGTCATCTTGGCTTACTGCAACCTCCGCCTCCTGGGTACAAGTGATTCTTGTGCCTCATCCTCCCCTGTAGCTGGCATTACAGGCGCACACCACCAAACCCGACTACTTTTTATATTTTTAGTAGAGATGGGGTTCCTCTGTGTTGGCCAGGCTGATCTCGAACTCCTGACCTCAAGTGATCCGCCTGCTTCAGCCTCCCAAAGTGCTGGGATTACAGGTATGAGCCACTGCGCCTGCCCAGAAATTAGCAGTTTTATAGACCTCTTTCCTTCTAATAAAGCCATTTTTTGGGTCAAATCAATATTTATTGATTTGTGAATATATAATAATTATTATGACTATTTATTTTATATCCAAACAAAATATTATTACTTTGCCTGTCTTACATATTTGTTTCCCTTGGAGTTACTATGTAGAGAAAATAAATATAAATATGTATTTGGCTGTTGCTTTTTAAAAAGCTCTATGGCCAGCGCAGTGGCTCACGCCTGTAATCCCAGCACTTTGGGAGACTGCGGCGGGGGAATCACCTGAGGTCTGGAGCTCGAAACCAGCCTGGCCAACATGGGGAAACCCTATCTCTACTAAAAATACAAAAATTAGTGGGGCATGGTGGCGGGTGCCTGTAATCCCAGCTACTTGGGAGCTGAGGCACGAGAATCGCTTGAACCCAGGAGGCGGAGGTTGCAGTGAGCTGAGATTATGCCACTGCACTCGAGCCTGGGCGACAGAGTGAGACTCCGTCTCAAAAAAAAAAAAAAAAAAAAAAGTTCTATTAAGATGTCATTTCTATACCTAAAATTTACTCAATGTAAGTGACTTGTTCAGTGATATTTAGTAAACGTATAGAGTTGTGTCACAGTCCAGCTTTAGTACATTTCCCTCATTCCCCAAATTCTTTCAAATTCTTTTGCAGTCATTCCCTGCTCCCTCTCCAGTCCTCCCTCTCTCCCCCAGCCAACCACTGCTCTGCTTTCTGACTTTATAAAATTGCCTCTTTTGTGCTGGACACGGTAGCTCATGCCTGTATACCAGTACTTTGGGAGGCCGAGGCAGGAGGATCCTTTGAGCCCAGGAGTTCAAGACCAGCGTGGGCAACACAGCGAGACCATGTCTCAAAAAAAACAAAAAAAATGGTCGCTTTTGGACATTTTATATAAATGGAATTATATGATATATGTAGTCTTTGGCATGAGATTTCTTACAATTAGTATAATGTTTTTGAGGTTCATCCAGGTTGTAGTATGTATCACTGTGTCATTTTTTATTTTTTTTTGCTAAATAATATTTCATTATAGTGATGTATCACCTTTTGTTTATTTGTTTACCAGTTGGTAGATATTTGTATTGTTTCCAACTTGGCTATTATGAATAGTGCTGATATGAAGAATTACCTGCAAATCTGTGTGTTGACATACTTTAATTTCTCTTGGGTAGATTTCTAGGAGTGGAATTACTGAGGCAATGGTAAACTCATGTATAATTTCTTCTTTTTAAGAGAAATAAGCCAGTGTGGTGGCTCATGCCTGTAATCCCAGCACTTTGGGAGGCTGAGGTGGGTGGATCACTTGAGGTCAGGAGTTTGAGACCAGCCTGGTTAACCCAGTTAAACCCCATCTCTACTAGAAATACAAAAATAAAATAAATAAAATAAAATAATAATAATCATAATAAAAGAGAAATGAGGTCGCCAATGCTGGAGTGTGGTGGTGCAATCATAGTTCAATTTAGCTTTGAACTCCTGCCTCAAGTGATCCTCCTGTCTCAGCCTCCCTGAGTAGCTGGTATTACCAGCTTGAGACAACGTGGCCTCATGCATAACTTTTAAAGAAACCACAGACTGTTTTCCAAAGTGGCTTGGTTTTATCTAACTTTTTGTTATAATGAGTGTATGGTAATAGCTCATTGTGGTTTAATTTGCATTTCCCTAATAATTAAGTAGGTACCTTTTCATGTGCTTATCAGCCACTTATGTTTGCTTTGGTGAGATGTCTATTCAGGTCTTTTGCCCACTTTTTATTTGGTTTTTCTTCTTATTGAGTTGTAAGAAGTCTTTATATATTCTGGGTACAAGTTCTTTGTCAGATTTACAATTTGCAAATATTTGTTCTCAGTTATGAGGTTTTGTAATATGTATCTTCGTCCTTCTCCAATAAAAGAAAACAGAATTGTTTTCATCCATATTTGCTAAGTTTGCATAAATTCTGAATAACTATTTTATGAAAGCAACTATGAAAACAGGCATTTGCCTCTCTGCTGAGGCCTGGTGGTTCCTTCAAAGAAGATTTGCAGGTTTGTAGTGGCTTCGTGCTTGGCTACAGCCTTCTCCCGATGCTTGGTGGCAAGCATGTTTGGGCAGGAAAGCTCTTCATGTGATGAAGAGAAATTGTGCTGCTTTCTGCATGTCCTAAGGTATATGGCAGAGTGAGGATCAGCTAGGTTCATTGGCTTTTATTTTTTTAAACTGTAGCTTCTATATAAAGCTGTTTTGTGGCAATTTCTCTGCAGACAGACAGACAGACACCCCTGCCCCCCCAACAGACACAGACACACACACATATGCACACACCCTCCTTGGCTTTAGGTTTAAATATCAATCCTGCTGTTGCAGGCTAAATGACTTTAGGCAAGTTTTTGTTCTCTGAGCCTCAATTTCTTCATCTGTGAAATAGGAATAATTCCTATTATGAAAGGTTGTTACAGTATTAGAGATAACATATGTAAATTTCTTGGCATGTAAATAGGGCTAGTAAGTCATTTTTCTCATTTATTTTATGGAAAAGAGGCCATAAGGAAGCTTTACAAGGGAATGATTAGTTCTCACATTCTGATTTAAGTCTATTTTCTCATTTTCCTTTTGATTCTTATTCACTATTTGAAATGAATTATCTGTAGATTTGAAATTTCTAGCTCAGGAATCTAGCTGTTGGACATCTCCAAGAAAAAGAGGTCTTTGTGAAGGAAATGAAATCTGTGTAAGTTTATTTACCTGACTCTTGGGTCTTGGCAGCATGCGTATAAGAGGGAGTCATTTTTGGGACTTTATAACTTGAGCAGAATTTTGTAAAAACTGAGCCAGACATTCAAGGCTCGCTACAATTTGCTTCCCATTTTTCCAGCTCTGTTTCTCATTACTACCCTAGTAACATATTTCTTCTGCTTTTTTTTTTTTTTTTTTTTTTGAGACGGAGTTTCACTCTTGTTGCCCCGGCTGGAGTGCAATGGTGCGATCTTGGCTCACCGCAACCTCCACCTCCCAGGTTCAAGCAATTCTCCTGCCTCAGCCTCCTGAGTAGCTGGGATTACAGGCATGTGCCACCACACCCAGCTAATTTTGTATTTTTAGTAGAGACAGGATTTCTCCATTTTGGTCAGGCTGGTCTCGAACTCCCAACCTCAGGTGATCCACCTGACTTGGCCTCCCAAAGGGCTGGGATTATAGGCGTGAGCCACTGTGCCCGGCCTTTCTTCTGCTTTATATATGTCTCTTCACTGTCCTTCAAATATCTATCTTGGGCATTTATTTCTTCCTAATGCCTTTCGTTTGAAATGTTTCTCCTTTACCAGCAGAATCCTAAGTATCCATTAAGATCCTTGTTCACAACTTAATCTCCCTTATGAAATTTTTCCTTATTGCCTCTGATTGTTTCAAATCGTTTAACATGTCTGTATGAACATTTCCATAAAGTTTGGATCCAAGAGAGTTTGGGAAATACTGCGAGGACTAGGAGGAAATCACTTAACTTCTCTCAAGACTCAGCTTTCTGTGAATGTGAGGATACCATAGGATGTTTGAAAGGATTAAAGTCTTAAAAATGTCCTAGGTCAAGAGTGACTTATTGCCTGATGTTGTGAAAATAGGTTGCACTAAACTCTGCCTTTGGCTTTCCAGGTAACCCAGAAAGTCTCTTCTCATCTTCTCATCTCTGGGCCCAAGTTTCTTCTTTTTGCTTTAAGGACTCTTTGGTGGTAATGGGTTTGGTTTTTGTGGGTCCTGGGAGTGTCATACTTTGAGCGTTCTCTCACCTCCTAAATCCTTCAGGGCTACTGTGGATCTGTGGATAGATGAATGATGCCAGAAGTATTAAAAATATGGCTGGCTTTTATTCTCATCGCTCTTCTGTACCTGGTTTGTCACATCTTGCCTTTTATGCCGCAGTTTGACTTTTCCCCCTAGCTTTGCCTCTTTTTGCTTAGTTTAGGGTTGCTGGGATTGTTGAGCTGTGATTGTTAGTCCACTCATGACCCAGTTGCTTAAATATTTTGTTAATGGATGGATCATAATTTCACTGATTGACTTTTCAATAGATTGACCTGTTATTTTGTATATAGGCAATTGATTTGTATTGTAATGAGAGGTTTAATGTGACCATCAAAAAGAATTATCTGACTAAAGATAGGGCCATTTACAAAGGAAAATTATAGAATTTCCATTAGCAATTTTCAAAATCGAGAAATTCATCTGACTAGACTTGGTTAGGGCAGCTAAGTAGTTAGTAGGGATATTCTTGCTGTAGCGGTTAGTACTACCAAGCAATCGATGGTCTTTTATAATCAATTCTGGCTACCATTTTGTGAGTTACATTTAAGAAGCTTGACATATTTATTCAGTGCTTTGTTCTTCAACAGACAGTCACTGGCAGATGATTTAGAATGAAACCAACTAATTAAGTATAAGGTAAGACAAAAGGCCTCATAGTTGGTGGACAATATAGTTACGGGTTTCAGTTACAGATTAAATATTTTAATTTTCTTAATAGCATTAGCTGCATACTATTATACTGATCTCATCTAGGGTTGATTAGAGAGACAGGGGAATACAACAGGTAACTTAAGATCTTGTGTTAGAAACTTTGGTACCACCAGAAAATACTCTCAGCAAGTACTATGTAATCATGCATTTAAACAGCTCTGATCTCACTGGAGTCTCATTACTCTGCTTAGCTTTTATCTGCTGAATATTCTTTAGTGTGATATCCTAAGCCTTCTGTGATATGGCCTCAGTCTTTTTCCTTCTGTTTTGTGTAAGGTACTCTGTTCAAGCCACACTGTGGGGTGGGGTAGCGTAGCTTTGGAATTAAATGTGGGTTTGAATTCTAATTCCTTTACTTACACTATTTCCCATGTCCCATGTTTAAATACAGGTCGTCCTTTAAATCTCACTTCAAATGCTACCTTCTCCTTGAGGTTTTGGCTAGTGCATTTATTTGCGAGCTGACTCAGTGTCCCAGGGCACATGCTTTCTACTTTGCTTTTTGTGTTTTTTTTGGAGACAGGATCTCTCTCTGTCCCTCAGGCTGGAGTGCAGTGGCGGAGCCTCGAACTCCTGGGCTCAAGTAAGTGATCCTCCCACCTCAGCCTCCCAAGTAGCTGGAACTACAGGCATGCATGTGCTACCACGCCTAGCTAATTTTTTAATGTTTTATTTTTAGTAAAGACAGCGTCTTGCTATGTTGCCCAGGCTGGTTTTGAATTCCTGAGCTCAAGCAATCCTCTTGCCTCAGGCTCCCAAAGTGTTGGGATTACAGGTGTGAGCCACTGCACCCGGCCTTCTACTTTTTTTTTAAATTTTTTTATTTTTTATTTTTATTTTTTGAGATAAAGTCTTGCTCTGTTGCCCAGGCTGGATTGTAGCGGCTGGATCTCGGCTCACTGCAACCTCTGCCTCCTGAGTTCAAGTGATTCTCCTGTCTCAGCCTCCCGAGTAGCTGAGATTACAAGTATGCGCCACCACGTCTGGCTAACTTTTATATATATATATATTTATTTTAGTAGAGATGGGGTTTCACCATGTTGGCCAGTTCGAGTTGGTCTTGAACTCCTGACCTCAAGTGATCCGCCCACCTCGGCTTCCCAGAGTGCTGGGATTACAGGCGTGAGCCACCATGCCCAGCCCAGCCTCCTACTTTGTAATAGTACTTTATCACTGCCTATTGCATTATGGTGAAAAGGTTTGACCAACACACAGAATTCTGTAAGAACAAGAGTTCTCTCATGCTTCTTAGTTTTCTTGAATACTTTGCACAAAGTATGTGCCCAATATGAATTTGGTAAAGTGTGGTAACGGGATAAATTAAATAAACTCAACTTCAGCTTGTTGAAATACAGAGACTACTCCATTTGGATTTTCTCTTATGGACAAAGTGGGGGAAAAAGCAAAACTGTGGTCAGACTTTCACTAGGTTTTTATTGCCTTTGCCTTGCCAGAGCGATATGAAAAATTAATACTTAAGAAGCTAGATATCTGATGTTCAGCAAGAGAGTGCCTCTTACAAGTTTAATGGGTTTGGTCAAGTGGATATTAAATGTAAATCTGTCATTTTATGGAGCCATAGAAGGCTCTTAAGACACTCAATAAATATACTTATTGAATTAGTAGAACTTTTCCCATGTATCTCCTATTACTACATTAGGATCTTTGTTCCCTTAGTGTGTCTTTAGCCTGTGCTCTCACAAGCTTTGTGGTGTCGTGTGGATCACAGGATCGTTTAAGATAAAGATACTTTTAGCTCTTTAATTCTGGTATTCTATTATTGGTACAGGGAACCCATACATTATCTTAATTTCAGAGTAACACACGTCTCGGCATGGGACAGGGGGTGTCCTAATGAAAAGAGGGCTAACAGGTGGAATACTGACTATGTGCAGGCACTGTATAAAGCAAGTAGTTTTTAAATCCCATTTGCAGGTGAGGAAACCAAGGCTCAAAGGGATTAAGTCATTGTCCAAGGCTATGTAGTTGTTAATGAGTGAATCTGGGTTTTAAAATAAATGTGTTAAATTCCAGGGTTGATATTTGCACTGGGCATTTATTTACTTTTATTTGAATTTTTTTTTTTTTGCATTTTACTTGCATGCTTAATTTTTCTTTGCTCAGCAGCAAACATTATGTTCCCCACTTGCTTCCCACTTGCTTCCCTATTTACTAAGGGGTGATAGTTATGTGTTATGTATCTATAGTCCTGTATAGTTTACAGGTATTGCTGTAATACCTGTAATGGGTATTGCTTTCATACCCATTCTCATTTGATCTTTGGTAAGACCCCAGTGAGTCTTTATTATTTGGGTGGGGGGGAAGGGTTTTAATCTCCATTGGCAGATGAGGAAATCAAGATTTGCAGTTTCCTGAGAGATTTGCCAAGGGTGGTAATAAGTGGCATAAAATTGGCTTTTTAAAAAAAACCAATTCCTTGGCCACAATTTATTAAAAAGGCAAATGGAATGGTCCTCCTAGAAAAGATTTGGAAGTTAGCCAGATGTGGTGGTGTGCACCTGTAGTCTCAGCTACTCTAGAGGCTGAGGCAAGAGGATGGCCTGAACCTAGGAGTTCGAGGCTTCAGTGAGCTGACTGTGCCAGTGCACTCCAGCCTGGGCGACAAAAGACCCTATCTCTAAAACAATATGGAAGTGTAAGAAGTTGGGGAAATAAAAGGAAAAAGAAAAAAGAAAAAAAAGATATGAAAGGCCTGGAGCCCTTTCCCCCATAAGGCTCTGCTGACTGGAAGACAGTTTGAAAACCAGTGAGGAATGATCAAAGAACTCTGGTGTCAGACAGACCTGAGTTCAAATTCCAGTTTGGACTGATACTTAACTTCCCTTAGGCTTACTTCCTCATTTGTAAGATGGGATGCTTTTATAGGATTGCTGATAAGTATTAGCCAAAAAACATGCCAGAAATCTATCACAGTACCTTCAGCTTCTGTGGATGCAAGGGGAGTGTGTTAGGCAGTGTAGGCTGACCCCTCACCACGTGCAGGACTCACACTAAATGTTGGGGGAAGTCATTGCTAAGACAGAGCCATAGGACTTCAAACCCAGCACTTCATACCTGACTGAAGGTTCAGGTGTCACATTTATCAATAGTTTAAAACAGGAGGGGGCAAACTTTCTGTAAAGCATCTGAGAGCATCTGGGCCATATGGTCTCTGTTAGAGCTACTCAGGAACTCTGGCACGGTAGCAGGGAAGCAGGCTTAGATTATAGTAAACAAAAGATTGTGGCTCTATTCTAGTAAAACTTTATTTGTGGGTACCGAAATTTTAATTTCATATAATTTTTATATGTCATGAAATGTCATTTTTCTTTTGATTTTTTCTTTCAATCATTACAAGATGTAAAAGCTATCTTAGCTGGTAGTCTGTGTGTGGGTTCTACAAAAACAAGTAGCCCATAGACCAAAGTCCTGATTTAGACATGTCTAGTTTTTTTTTTTTTTGAAATGGAGTCTAGCTCTGTCACCCAGTCTGGAGTGCAGTGGCGCAATCTTGGCTGACTGCAACCTCTGCCTCCCAGGTTCAAGCAATTCTTCTGCCTCAGCCTTCTGACTAGCTGGAAAATTAGCCACCATGCCCGGCTAATTTTTGTATTTTTAGTAGAGATGGGGTTTCACTATGTTGGTCAGGCTGGCCTCGAACTCCTGACCTCGTGATCTGCCCGCGATGGCCTCCCAAAGTGCTGGGATTACAGGCATGAGCCACCATGCCCGGCCTTATCAGTATTCTTAATACCAACAGAGTTTCACATTGTATTTGACACTATTTACAAACTCAGTTTATTCCCTCTGTGTGAATACTAGCCATTTCTAAAATGAAATGCAATTGTGATTTAAATTTCACATATCATTATGCTAAATGCTGTTCACTTTTTGTTCCATGGTCCTGAAACAATTAACCTGTTTGGAGATAAGCTGCAGATACAAGCACACAGAGAAGGGGACTTAGGAAAGCTGGAGGAAGGAAAGGTCTGTCTTGCCTACATATGGGCTTAGGAAAATTTTCTAACTGGAAACCTTGCCTCAAGTCTGAGTCACACTAGTGGGACTCTTGGCCCTAGGGTGGGAGGAGAAAAGGGAGGGAAGGAAGTGGCTATGTCAGTTTTTGTCAACAGAGGGCACCCAGAGCAAAGCAAGTGTTCTGTGACACAACAGAATCTGCCCCTCTGCCCCAGATGAATTTACCAGACAGGCACAGAACTTCTTGCAGTGGATTCTCTTGTCCATCTCTTCATTTGTCTGATCTGTGTCTGCATTCTCATGTTTTCTCCCATGCTGGAACCAGAATATTCTAAATGCAGTGTTAATAATTGTTATTTGCTGACTGCTTTAAGTGGAAGACCAATTCCCTCAATGTGCTGGGGTGAATTATCCCATGTTGTAAGGTTGGCCTTTTGGGTGGATGTGCAGTATTAGCTTCTAATTTAATTCAGTATCCAGTGAGCATGTATTCCTGAAATACTTTTGATGTGAAAGAGCACTTCATACCTGTATAACATGTTGTAAGAAGACTTTGTAAGTCTTATTGCCTAGAGCAGTATCCTCAAAGTGTGGCTTCAAATCCAGCCGCATCAGCATCACCTGGGAACTTACCTTTATTCATGGTCTCTGCCTCTTCCCCAGACTTACTGAATCAGAAACTCTGAGGATGGGGTCCAGTAATCTGTTTTAACATGCTTTGGTAATTCTTATACACACTCAACTTGAGAACCACTGTCATAGGGTAAAGGAGTGGAAGAGTTAAGGGCACTGGTATTTATGGAAGACTATGTGCCAAGTACTTGGCTAGGAGTTTCCTCTTCATTTTCCACATGAGAACAGCAAGCCTTAAAAGCATTAAGTGATTTGCCAAAGTCGTACATAGAATAAGTGGTAGAATAGGGATTTGAACCCTGGTTTTTCTGACTCCTGAGCCATACTATAGTGGCTGGTAAGAAAATGCTAAGAGGCGTTGCAATCTTTAAATTAATTCTTTTTTAAAAGTCCTTAAAATATTTTTTTAAAACAAAAGTAATTTGCATTCATTGAAGAAAATTTAGAATATACAGCAGATCAAAAGAATAGAATAAAATCTGCCTTAATATATTTAACTTTATCTTAACGTTTTGTTGTTGATTATCTTGTTTCAGCGTAACTCTGTTTGCATATATACACATTTTAAAATTCCTTACCAGATGTCAATCATATTGTGTAAACTTTTGTAAAATGCCTCCAGCTCAGGCCTACTTTATTATAAACATCGTTTCATGCCATTAGCTATGTCTGCTGCATCATTTCATGGCTGCCAAGTAGTCCCTTGTAAGGTTGTAAGCTTTTTTATCATAATTCTTGCTAAAGTCCGTCTTGTTTTGATTTCATGATATGCTTTTAGGAAGAATAGGATACTGAGTGCTTTGGTACTATGGGTAAACAATTTGTCCAGAGTGGCTTAAAGTATAAAATTAAGGCAGTAAGCAGATTTTGGTTGAGAAGGGGACATGGAACTGGAAAGGCAATACTAAACATGTTTGAGGTTAAAGTGAGCCCAGAAATAAGAAAACAAATTGAAGTAAAAAAGCCAAAGTATCAGGAATAGACTGGGATCTGTGAGTTAGATGGGTTAGAACAAATAGGAATACTGATGGTGAACAATTTGATGGCACCAACAGCCTGCTTTTATTGTTGGCTTTTTGACATAGAGGCTGAGCTGCCGAATGACAGCATGAGAAAAACTGGGCATAAGACTTCCATAAATAGCAGTTATTATTTATTGAGGACCTTCATGACCAGGCATCATATTAATCATTTAATTTTTATAATAACCACATGCAATTAGATACATTAGTTTTCCCCATTTTACAGCAGTGGAAACTGACAGTGACATTTAAAGTAACTTGGCCAAATGCTTTGATTGGAACCAAATTAGTTAAAACTCCCAAACCTGTGCTTTTATGCTGTCGTTTATCCTCATTCTTTTTTTCATGGTGTGGCAGGTGTTTAGCCACTATTCTGTGTATATGTATTGTTTTACTATGTGAGCTGGGACAGAAGGAGACTAGGTGTGTAAGAAAGGACACTAAAGTCCACTAGAGTGGAGGTGGACTTGAAGAACAAAACAAAACTAATAGCCCAGTCGTTTTCGTAGGAAAGGTGTAAACCTGAGCTAGATAGTGCAGTGAGCAGAGGATGGGAATAGCAAAGTGAATCATTGATAGGAAGGAGCAGGCAGGCATTTGGAAACAAGGGATGGCTAGAAGAATCAAAGTTCCCTCATTAAAATTTCCTTCCCAAAGGAGGTGATATACTCTCCAAGGGCACTTTAAAACAGCTTTATTGAGATATAATTCACATACTGTACAGTTCACCCATTTAAAGTGTGTGGCTTTTAGCATGTTTACAATCATTCAGCCATCACCATCACCACAGTCAGTTTTAGGACATTTTTAGTATTCCACAAGAAACTCCATTCCCCGTAGTTATCACTTCTTTTTCTTTTTTTTTTTTTTGAGACAGTCTCACTCTGTTGCCCAGGCTGGAGTGCAGTAGCATGATCTCGGCTCACTGCAACCTCCGCCTCCCAGGTTCAAGCTATCCCCCTGCCTCAGCCACCTAAGTAGCTAGGACTACAGGCGCATGCCACCTGCCTAATTTTCGTATTTTTAGTTGAGGTGGCATTTCGCCATGTTGGCCAGGCTGGCCTTGAACTCCTGACCTCAAGTGATCCACGCGCCTCAGCCTCTGAATCTGCTGGAATTACAGGCGTGAGCCACTGCTCCTGGCCAATCATCACTTCTTAATTCCTCTATGCCCACTACTTCCCCAGCCCTATGCAACAAGTGGTCTCCACTTTTCTACAGATTTTGCCTATTCTGTATACAGTTTATATAAATAGACTCAATAGAATATGTGGTCCCTTGTGTCTGGCTTCTTTCACTTAGCATAATGTTTTCACTTAGCACAATCCATGTTATAGCAGTACTTCATTTTTTAATTGCTAAATAATACTTCATTATGTGGATATACCACATCTTATTTAATATTTTTTTTTTATGGTGGGAAAACATGTTTTTATGTTGGGAAAAGAAAGGTGAAGAGACTGAGACAATAAATAGGATTATTTTCCTTAATTTAAAATGGGAGGAATAGGTGACTACTATGAAAACCAAGGCTATCAGGCTTTCTTGAGGAATTGCAGCTAAAGGCCTAGGTGACAGGACAGTTGGCATCTGCTGCTTCATGAATTGTTTGTAGCAGAGTGGCAGCTCTTTTGACCCGAACACGTGCAGTATTCAGGGAGCTCATTGTGTAAATCTTGTGTGTTGGCCAGCACCATTGCCCCCTACAATACCTCATGGGGAACTGGAGAGGCCTTTGCTGATCTAATCTGGATACATTTCCCTCAGTTACTGCAGCTCTGGGTCCCCAGAGAGTCCTCTCTAAAGAGCTGCCAGTTTGTTGAGTGCTGGCATTTGTAAGATTATTTCTTACTATATGATTCGTCCAGTGAAGATGACACCCATTTATGAGGTCCTGATCTATTAAGCAGAAATAGCAACCATCATTCCTGTGTTTTTGGAATGAATGCTGACTCTAGGGCCCCTGTATGCTTTCTCAGCTGTAGAGTTTGGAGGGCTCCTTTAGCAAGCAAACAATGTGCCCTTCTGGGTGCCAGGTGACTTTACTGTTGTTCTGTTGATTCCTGTTAATTACTTTCTTGATTTAATCTCCAAGGAATAGAGATACCTTCATAAAATGAGTGGTATGGCTCAGGATGTAAGTCTTTTTAATTTGTACACCAGAAATGTTGTGGATGGCTTTCTACTTTGCCAGAACTTTCAGTTTAGTTTAGAGAGTGAATTGTAATCATTTGTCTTGATACCCTGGCCCTTTGGCATGTCAGCCCTAACACTGAAACAAGAACTCTGGGTAGAGGACATCAGCTTGGCCCTCAGTTCCTGAGCCATTGAATGTCAGCGCTACATTTAATCATATCACCCCCGTTTTACATTTGGGGAAACTGAGTTCCAGAGAAGTTAGATGACTTACCAAATCCATAGTCTTATTTTCTTATAGCTCTTGCTAGTGGCAAAGCTGAGTCTGTGATATTGAGCCTTCATTCTCAGTGGAGTGCTTTTTTCCCAGTGCAGAGCTGTTTCCTGAAGAACATGTACTGTCATGACCAAGGAGTGGCCAAGCCCTGCTGTACTCCATCAGCAGTGCAGGCTTTAAGGTGTATTTGAGAGTTTGACAGATTGCGATTGTGATGATGAAAATTTATAGGAAAGAGCAAGAGCACTGGTTTGTGAGTTTGCACGCCACTGACTTACAGAACCCAGCCCCTTCTGGCCTCCCCTTCTCCCAGCCTCCCGTGCAGTGCACTGTGTCCAGTGAGTATCTTCATGACTACGTGATTATAATTCCTTGAGAGCCCCATGTCTATTTGCTAAAAAATAAATATGTGCTGCTACACTAACCTAACAAGCAGTCATCTTGTAGTTCCTGCCTGAAAATGTTTGATCATGGTTGTCAACTCTATGCCTGCTATAATTTTTGCCTAGCATAATGTGAAGAGAAAAGATAAAAATCCTTCTCTCACTGTGCATTTTCACTGTCCCCTCCCCTCATTCTTAGTGTATAGAATTCCAGAATGGGCCTTGCTTTCTGACATTTTCCTGCCCCATGACCCTAACAGATCTATTCAACATGACCCTGACGGCTGAGATAGATCTAAACCCAGCCCCTTCACAGTGGAACACTTAAGCTGGGTAGTAGTTCCATACTGAGACCCCTTTCAGTACTTTCTCTTCCTCCCCTTCTTTTTTGTTGTGTCTTCCCCTACCAACATGAGCTCCTTTTTAGGGAGAAGTTGTATCCTTCACTCTTTTCCCCCATCACCTAGGAGTTGCTCAATATAGTCATTAAATAAATTTTGGCATTCTCATGCTGTTTACCATTCATGATGGGATGGGTAAGATGCAGGAATGCTAATAAGGTTGTCAGATGGCCGTGTTATTCCTTTATAGAAGTTGTTTTATGGTCCTTAATAATAATTTATAGTACCAGGTACTATTTACTGAATGCTTGCTATGCATCAGGTATTGTGCTAATGCACATATGCACATACCATCCACTTTTCATTACTCTTTTTTTTTTTTTTTAAATTTTTCAGATAGAGTCTCTCTGTGTCTCCCAGGCTGGAGTGCAGTGGCGTGATCTCGGCTTGCTGCAAAACCTCCTGCCTCAGCTTCCCCAGTAGCTGGGATTACAGGCATGAGCCACCATTCCCAGCTAATTTTTGTATTTTTAGTAGAGACGGTTTCATCATGATGGCCAGGCTGGTCTCGAGCTTCTGATCTCAGGTGACCCGCCCGCGTCAGCCTCTTAAAGTGTTGGGATTACAGGCATGAGCTACCACGGCCGGCCCACTCCTCATTACTATTAACAACCACTCTCCTGGCTGGGCACGGTGACTTGTGCCTGTAACCCCAGCCCTTTGGGAGGCCGAGGCAGGCAGATCACATGAGGCTAGGCGTTCAAGACCAGCATGGACAACATGGCGAAACCCTGTCTCTACTAAAAATACAAATATTAGCCGGGTTTGGTGGCCCATGCCTGCAATCCCAACTACTTGGGAGGCTGAGGCACGAGGATTGCTTGAATCCGGGAGGCAGAGGTTGTAGTGAGCCAAGATCATGCCACTACACTCCAGCCTGAGCAACAGAGTGAGACCCTGTCACAAACAAACAAACAAACATGCAAACACCCATTCTCTCTATAAGGTGGACAGTAGAAGCCATATTTTACCAATGAAGAAACTGGGCTTTAGAGAAGAGCAAGTCACAGAGCTGGAAAGTGGTAGAACAGGCATTTAAATCTAGGTTAGCTTGATACCGAAGCCTATGTTTTTAGTAACCATACTGAACCTCCTTGAGTAGTTAATTTGCTGAGCATTACTGTGAAAGAGAGCTAAGTCACTTATGTTCCCTAGGATTTATAAATGAGACATCTGTGTTAGCACAGGGCATTAGTAACATGATTTAGATTAAATCTGGCTTTGGGATTAAAGAATAGAGACAAAGAGGAGGCATACGGAGCCTCTGCCACTTAACTTCCTGGAGCTGATTTGCTTGTGCTCAGTATTGAGGAATCTTTCCTCTTTGAGTGAGTGTAGAGTGGTTTTGGGTCATTTGTAGTCTACACAGTTTCTGAGAGATGATCTGTCCAGCAATTCCAGATTGTTTAGGGTGGGCCTGGGAGAGGGTATGGCTTACTCCTCGTTTCTGGTGCCGTATTAAGGTGAACTAGAGCTGATTCATGTACTGGTTGAGACTGTAAAAGGACTTCCAGGTTTAGTCATTCTGCAGGAGGCTTTCTCTTTGGTTTAACTGTAGCTCTTCATCCCTCACCCTGGTTTACATAATTGGGACTTTAAAATTTCATTGTGGCTGTAAGAACAAAGGGAATGCACTTTTCAGCAGCTCCTTACTGACCAGTCGTGTGGAGTCCCTGTAGTGTACTCAGGGAGAGCGGCTGCCTCTCTGATTCTCTGCATAAAACAAAAGTATTTTGTACATAGCTTTGAAATGGGAGAGAGAAACTTCTGAAGAAAAAAAGAGTTGTTTGGGGTAATAAGATTTTGAGGAGGCAGACACTTCCTGCATTCTCCCCTGGGGAAAGAATCTAGCTACAATTGAAGGGCATTGCCTCAACTAATTTAGTTAAGTGGCCCCGTCCTGGATTAATAACTTGGGCAGACTTCCCAATGGATTTGGCAGGGTATTGGGTTTCTCTCTCCCCAAACCCTCCCTTCTCTCTGCCCTGCACATGTGTGCTAACATAATTACAGAAAGTTACAAGGGGATGGGGCTGCTCTTAAAGGAGGTGGCTCAGAGGAGAGAATGTGATTGTGTAGTCCTGTCATATTTCCGAAATGGCAGAGTTCGAGTAAAATGGTAGGGTGGAAGCAAGCAGGCTGGTTTCTCTCTGTAATGGCAAAGGGGGAGGAGGGTTGGTGGCAGTGTCGATTTCAAGCACCTAGAGCACACGAGCACTGGGTACTAATTTTGTGCTAGAGAAATATTAAACTGTCTTTTTGCATTTGTTTGTCCAGATTGCATTACTAAGGATCTGGTCATTACAGAACAACCTTTTTGATTAAGGTCAGAAGTTAACAGTTTTTCAAGTTTGGTGGTCAAGTGTTCAGAAATATTTCACAGATTTAGTTGAAAACCTGAGCAGATGCTTTTGCTGTTGTTTACCCCCGGGGATCGGGTGACATTCTTCTCCCTTTTCCTCTTCCCCACCCCTTTGGGAACCAACCAATCACGTAGAGGAATGGATTTCAGTGCCTAAGGAGTCAGCCAACTCCGGAGCTGTAGCTGAGACTGAATGTTTAACTCTTAGGTATCTGAATCACAGGGAATGGCAGACATTGCAGTTAGCTTGTTTTCTTGTTGGCATCTACTCTCAGAGCCCATCCCTAAGGGATTGTTCCTAATGAGGCGAGGTACATTGCATTGAACTTGAAGGAACTGGCTTTTAGCCCCAATTCTGCCAGTAACTAGTATTGCAACCTTGGAAAAGTTATTTTCTCTTTTTAGACTTGCTTCTCTTTATGCACAATGAGAGGAAAAGGAGAAAATGGGCATGTATGGTATATCACTATATATTCCAGTGGCGTTTTATCGCTAGCCTTGAGGTTTAGGGGAAAAGCATTTAACCTGTATTGAGTGCCTATTCTGAAGCAGTTTGTTTTTATTTGTTACCTTATTAAATTCTTATGACTCTGCAGGGCAAATGCTGTTAACCCAATTTTACAGATGAGAAAAGTGTAGGCTAGAGAGGCTGTCCAGCTTGCCCAAGGTCACTTAAGGAAGGCCCATCTGGCTCTAATGCCCAGACTCTTCCATTCCACTAGGCTGGCTAAAAAGGCCCTAGAAGTCCTGCCAGCATTTTCACTCTGATATTCTTTAACTCCTTCACAGCTTTTAATCCTGCCCTGTAGGAGGACCAAACATTACTGTCTCCTCTTTCACAGCCCCGCTACTAGAGCAAGTAAATGACTTAGGGATTCCTCCATCACCTGAAAGCAGCAAAAGAAGATGGTACAGCATTCAATTTTCTCCTTCCTCCATAAAGAAATTCCCGTCCTTTATAGCCAGCTCTGCCCACCCCTTCCTCATTCCCCTTTTCTTAGACAGGCAGATATTTTCTTTTCTCTTTCCCTTTGGCTTGTGATTATCAGGTAAATATCCCTGGTTTGAGGGAGGAGCAGAATTTTGATTAGGTTAAAAAATTATCTTTACCCATAGCCTTTCTATGACATAGATACTACAATATTGGGTTTATCCCCACCTGGAATTTCTATGATATCTATATCTATAAACCTATATAGATTTATAGATATCATAGAAATTCCAGGTAGGAGTAAACCATATATATATCGGTATATCTCTATCCATCTATATATATATATACACACACACACATACATATACACACATATTATAATGATATAATTATATATGTATACACACACACACACACACACACACACACAATAGAAATAACAGGATATATATATCCTGTTAGGCGCTCCCTTAAAGAGCTTTATTTTTTTGCTTGTAAATTATCCTAGCCATCTGATTTAATAGATACACCTTACCCAAGAGAACACTTTCTGTTTCTCTTCCTGCAGATCTTACTTTTTTTACTTTTTAAAAATAGAGACAGAGTCTCACTATGTTGCCCAGGCTGATCTTGAACTCGTGGGCTCAAGCAATCTTCCTTTCCTCCTCTGCCTCTCAAAGTGCTGGGATTATAGGCACCAGCCACTGCAACTGGCCACGGTTTACTTTTAAATTCACAGAGAAAATAGCTTTTTAAAGGTGAGTTCTTATTAATATTTTGGTTACTTCCAATTAAAAAAAAATTACAGTAGAAGCCCTAAAATGTCAGATTTGCCAATAAATCATTTTCTGTCATTTGTTGTGGGCTAAGAAAAATGACAATAGACAAAACCATTAACAATTGAAATTTATTAAGAAAGGCACTGGCCTAGGTGTTTTATGTACATTATTTCTAATTTTCATCTTAATTCTGCATTTGTTGATTACAAAACAGGTTAAGAGGGGTTAAAGTACTTGCTCAAGGTCACTGCTAATGAATGGTGATTTGGCAATTTGATTGTAGGTCTGTTTCACTTTCAAACCTCAGTTCTTTCTTCAATGCCATGCTGCCTCTGGGATATGATCTTGAGAGTTTTATTTGATCATTCATGCTCATGCCTCAGCTCAGATCACCCCGGAAAACCCATATATCTTCTTTTAAAAAGGGAAATACATTTTATATGATAAGTTTAACAACTGAAAAAAAATTAAAAGAAGTATTTCCTGGTGTTTGCCAACTTTTACAATCAGGTGACTTTTACTGGTGTTTATTTTGAATTATTTTTGTTAAAGTTTGGATCCATCCCTTGTTTTAAGTGAAAATGCTAAATAGCTACTCATCCTCAGGTACTGGAGAGCTTAGGGGATTTCACTGTGAATTGGGTGGACAGGAAGAGGTAGGCCTTAAAGGTTAAGTAATATATAGGTAGATGGAAAAGGTGGAAGAATTTTCTTGCGGTGAGGAAATGTTATTGCTTGCTCCATCACTTGGTACATCCTGTGTTCACACCATCTGTTTGAGCTCCTGAGAATGTTGATGGGAATCTAATGAAAGATGGGTTGGTATTAATGAATGCTCATGTTCTTCTCCCTTCCTCTCTTGAGGAGTTGCTTGTGATTTAGCTCTGCCACACTTTATGTTGGGCTTTCCCAGTGGTGTGCTCTGAGAGATTCATATAAGAGAAGTATACGTAGTATGCTGTTTCTGCCATCCAGATCACCTCAACAAATAGTTCCATAATGTTTATTATGTGCCTGTTATATGCCAGTCAGTTGGCATGACCAACTGATGATGCTGAGATAAGATGTGTCATTGCCCACTAGGCCTTTACGTTGAGTACAATTTGCAGTCTCATTCAGGATACAAGACCTACAAACATGGAATTAACAAAAAAGAAGTATGTATTTAAGATTAAAAAAAAATGAGTGAACCAAGACCAGCAAATGTTGTTGAGGTTTAGAGATGAAAGGGGTTAGGATTTGCTGGAGCAGTAAAAACAGGGTTCATTAAAAATTTTATCCAGAGTATGGAGTGGGGAAGGGCTGGGGTGAGATGGGATATGGGTCATGCCACTGCTAGTGAAAGGAAATTGAAAATGGCTCATTGGATTAGAATAAGGTACTTATACCTTCTAAAATTGTTGATGGAGTCATAGGCAGAGATTGGGAAGGGGAGATTCCACCAATTAGCATTTTAAGTGAGGAGTGTAACGATACCAGCAGCTAATGTAAACAACACCAATAATAACAACTTAATCCCTGAGATCACAATTTTTAGGAAAAATTTCTTACATTTATTTATATTTTGGCTCCCTTGATTAGCTTTCCTCTGATTAGAGAATGTGGTATCCTGTATATTAAAATACCTTTACTCTTGTTGGATTTTTAAAAGATGCAAAACTTTAAGATAAATCAGAGGTCGATTAAGACACCAGTAGGCCTTGTTGCCATTTCCATTTCCCATATGCATTGATTACTGTGTAGCAGTATTCCTGATGATTGTTGAATATTTATGAGGTTCTCTCCCAAAAAAGCCCACCAAGTGAAGAACTATCTTTCATTTTTTAAGTTCCTGAAAATTACCTAAAACTCTTCTGTAGGAGATGGCTTTTACAAAGAAGATTCTTTCCTTCTCCCTTCCCCCAACCCATAGTAGCTTAACTTAAGTACCTGGGGGAGATAAAGATAAATGTGGGAAACTTCAGGATGAAAGGGACATTATTAGAGACCAGAGAAGTCCCGGGAGGTCATATCAGGCTTAAAGTGGAAACTATGTTACAACCTAAGCAAGGAGCAACTGATAGGTCTATAAATAGGGTTTTATCTCCTCCTAGAAAATTTTTGTCATGGTTATAGCTTTCCATGTGGGGGACTATTATATTTACTAAAAATAAACCGTTTCAGAAATAATTAAAATAAGTCCCACTGAACTCATTTATGTTATTAAAAGTAAAGTCATAGCCTGAAAATAAGTTTATAGAGTTTGGCATGTACTAATTTTAAGGAACATTTTGATGCTGCAGCCATTGCTTATATATGGGATAGAATGGTAAAGCCCAAATGGATTTGTATGGATTAAAATAGATTACCTTCTCAGAAAATAATGTTATTTCAGTTTTTTTCCGCTAGTTCAGAAGACCCTCAACCTCCTTTGCATGCATTCAGACACATAAGTTGGCATTACAAATGAATCATCTAGGGAAGTGGGAGTACTTCTAATTCTCCAGGAATCTCACACAGTAAAGCTGCTTGGATATGGCTATTCAGAACAGAAAGGTATAGAAATGGACAATGGTATCCCTTCCATTGGTATTCCTTCTGGGCAACAAAAACCCTTAAGCTGTCTGAGTCTGTTTCTCACACTTCTGTTATCCTGATTGTAGCCCTTTAAATTGTGGAGCAAATTCTTGGCATCTGTCTGCCTGTCAGCTACCTATCTCTGACACCCCTGGATAGCTTGTTTTCTTCCTATGAGTATATGTGAAATTTGTAAAAAAGCATCTATTAATTTAAGTATCCTGTTAGAAGCCTGCGAAAATTCAAATTGGGCAAACAATAAAATTGCTTAAACCGTGTTTCTCAAAGTTAATTTGACCATAGAGTACTTTTCAAAATATAATGAATTGAATAACACAGCATCAGTATGACTCACGTACAATGTGTGTGTGGATTAAAGTCACCAGAAGTAGTGTTAAAAAGATGAATTAATGGCTTCAGGAAGTGACTTCATTGGCTTTTTTTCAAACTTTAAACATTTTGGAGAAGTTAAATCATTTTAAGTATAAAAGTTAAAGAGATTCAGTTATATTTTGTTTAAAGAGCAAAAAATCATGACTTTGTTGAAATTAAGTAAATATTTATGATTGTCAATCATCAAAATAGATTACAT
Source organism: Homo sapiens (assembly GCF_000001405.40). Lineage (NCBI taxonomy): Eukaryota > Metazoa > Chordata > Mammalia > Primates > Hominidae > Homo > Homo sapiens. The sequence goes on along the minus strand of NT_187630.1, from coordinate 230,978 downwards.
TTGTATTGTCTATGCCTTTGGGTACAGGTTAAAAATTATCTTCTTTTTCTGCCTAAAAAAGAAAGTAAGGCCCGGCACAGTGGCTCACGCCTATAATCCCAGCACTTTGGGAGGCCGAGGTGGGTGGATCACCTAAGGTCAGGAGTTGGAGACCAACCTGGCCAACATGGCGAAACCTGTCTCTACTAAAAATACAAAAACATTAACCGGGCATGGTGGCTTGTGCCTGTAATCCCAGCTACCCAGGAGGCTGAGGCAGGAGAATCGCTTGAATCCGGGAAGCGGAGGTTGCAGTGAGCCGAGATTGTGCCACTTCGCTCCAACAGGGGGACTCACATGTTACCCTTATTTCTCGAAGACATTGCTCGGAGACATTGCACTTTTCATGATAGATTGTTGCATACTAAGTAGAAACTATATTTGTATTTAGTATTTTTCTTTTGAATGAAGAAAAATATTGCTAGCGTTACTTTTAAAATTGTTGTATTACCTTTTGACAACTTGTAAAATGCTAAAACAGGGTTACATATTTCAGGTGTATCTGACTTCCTAATTACTTTAAGCCTTTTACTGCTGTTGTTCTTTTTCTCCCCTTACAACCTCTCAACTCCCTTCTTTCCACCCATACTTTAAAGAAGGAAACTGAAATTCCTGATGTAATGTATATTTTTTCATATATATATGTTTAAGAGACTGGGTTTTGCTATGTGGCTTAGGCTGGTCTCAAATTCCTGGCCCCAAGCGATCCTCTCACCTTGGCCTCTTGAGCAGCTGCAACAAGAAGCATGAGCCACTGCACCAAACCTGATAACAATGATTTTCTGAAAGATAGCGAGATGTGCTGGGCGCAGTGGCTCACTCCTGTAATTCCAGCACTTCGGGAGGCCGAGGTGGGCAGATCACGAGGTCAGGAGATCGAGACCATCCTGACTAACACAGTGAAACCCTGTCTATACTAAAAATACAAAAAATTAGCCAGGCGTGGTGGCGGGCGCCTGTAGTCCCAGCTACTTGGGAGGCTGAGGCAGGAGAATGGTGTGAACCTGGGAGGTGGAGGTTGCAGTGAGCTGAGATCATGCCACTGCACTCCAGCCTGGGTGACAGAGCGAGACTCCATCTCAAAAAAAAAAAAAAAATAGATGAGAAATTGGATGAAAGAGGCTTGGCAAGTTCACTGAATTCCTTGAGCCCCAAACCTAAGTTTCTGCCTATTTAATAGGTTTCATCTAGTATTTTTTATTTTGTGACTCATATTTACCAATTGGCTATTGTGGTGGTAATTGTAATGATAACAATAGTATATATTGCTCTGTTTACATAATAGCCTAACATACAGATGTTGAACCATCCACAACTTAGAATGGTTCTGCTTAACAGTTTTCTGACTTTACAATGGTACAAAAGCAATACACATTCAGTAGAAACCAATGTTCATTCAGTAGAAACCATCTGAGTACCCATTTTTTCACTTTTATTATAATATTCAGTAAATTACATGAGATATTCAACACTTTATTATAAAATAGGCATTGTGTTAAATGATTTTACCCAACTGTAACCTAATGTAAGTGTTCTGAGCATGTTTAAGATAGGCTAGGCTAAGCTATGATGTTTGGTAGGTTAGGTGTGTTAAATGCATTTTTGACTTACTATATTTTCAACTTATGATGAGTTTATAGGGACAAAATCCCATTGTAAGTTGAAGAACATTTGTTCTCTATTTGGGTTTGACAACATCCCTGTAATGTAGGCATTATTAACTCCATTTTGCAGGTGAAGAAACTGAGTGTATCCATATTTGACTGTTTCTCATTATACGAATTCAAGAATGGTTAAGTTAAAATTTTATTTCTATCATTTTGGTGTGGAATAGTTATGGATAGTAGATCAGAGTGATACACCAGTTGACTTCTTGGCCTAAACATTTGAAATAGACATTTCAAGATTCTTTGACAGTCTCTGTTTTGGTCATCAAATGTGCACACTGTTGATGTGCATAAAGCTTTCTGTTGTTTCAAGTGAAATTGAATTTTGGGTAGAGCACAGTGGCTCACACCTGTAATTCCAGCACTTTGGGAGGTCGAGGCAGGTAGATCTCTTAAGGTCAGAAGTTCGAGATCAGTCTGGCCGATGTGACAAAAACCCGTCTCCACTAAAAATACAAAAATTAGCTGGGCATGGTGGTGGGTACCTGTAATCCCAGCTACTTGGGAGGCTGAGCACAAGAATCTCTTGAATCCGGGAGGTGAAGGTTGCAGTGAGCTGGAGTCACGCCACTGCATTCCAGCCTGCGCGACGGAGCGACACTCTGTTTCAAAAAAAAAAATCGAGTTTTGATTTGTAAGTTAAAGTAAATAATTTATTATTGAAAACATTTAGGATTAAGTTCAGCTGCATATAACAATCTCCTCTTCCCCACACAGAATCTTAACAAGAGAGAGATTCATTTGTCTTTCATGAAAAAGAAGTCTGAAATTAGGCAGTCCAGGCTAATATGGCGCTGTCTGGTTACCAAGGATCTAAGATCCTTACTGCTGTTTACTTCTCTGACTGTAGGATGGGCCTAGATGATTCAGCCATCATTTCCCCCTTTCCACAAAGCAGTTTGAGAGGAAGAAAAGAGGGGTGTCCCCTCCCCTACCTAAGAAAACTTCCAGGAAGTTCCATGTAACATTTCTGCTTATATCTCATTAGTCGGAATTAGTCTTAGGGCCATATGTAGCTGTAGTGGAGGATGGAAGATGTAGTCCTTTTCTGGGGAAGCGTGTACAGTAATATGCTAAAATGAAAACTGGGGTTTTGTTACTAAGGAAGAAGAGAAGAGAGGATATTGGGAAGCCACTAACATTCTCAGCTCCAGGGCCTATCAGAGTGACCCAGCCTTATCTCCCACATGATACAGAAGACCATTCTGCGGCTTCCCTGGGAGATTTTCAACCAGTCTTTGCCATGTTTTCCAACAAGATGATTTTTTTCTTGAAATGTATATACTTTTATGCAAAGATTTTTTAAAAGCTAAATAATACAAGATTATGGTAAGGATCACTGCAGTTTCCATTTTAAGATCAAGTTTGAGTTTTTTTCCAAAATTGATTAGTTTGTTGGAAATGGAAATTCAAATGGTATAGAAAGTTTTTTGGTTTTTTGTTTGTTTGTTTGTTTGTTTGGGACAGAGTCTTGCTCTGTTGGCCAGGCTGGGATGCAGTGGCGTGATCTTGGCTCACTGCAGCCTCCACTTCCTGGGTTCAAGCAATTCTTGTGACTCAGCCACCCAAGTAGCTGGACTAACAGGTGTGTGCCACCACGCCCGGCTAATTTTTGTATTTTTAGTAGAGATGGGGTTTCACTCTGTTGGCCAGGCTGGCCTCCTGACCTGAAGAGATCTGCCTGCCTCAGCCCCAGAAAGTGCTGGGATTACAGACATGAGCCACTGTGCCAGGCCATAGAATGAGGTTTTAAGTAAGAATAAAGTATGTGTGAAATATTTAAATATCTGACCATTGGTAAAGGAAAAAGTGTGATTTTTTTTCTTTTGTTTTTTGAAGCCTGGGTAAGTCATTAGATTATACATTTCTTAGGGATAGAGAACTCACTTTTATAAAATGTATGATTATTGTATTTTGAATAAATAACATTTACATAAGTTAATATTTTAAAAGTAGAAAATGGTCATATCGTGAAAAGTTGCTCTCCCATTCCTGTCTTGAGTTCCCAGTGTCTTTCCCCTACAGGCACTGGGTGTTTTTTACTTCTTGTGTATAATTCCTCCTTTGATCTTTTCCTCCCATTTAAAAAACCACTGGTTTTAAAACCATTGCTAAACCTTTCTTTTTTCCACTTAATGACATATGCGGTATGCATGGCTTAATGATAAGGATACTTTTTGAGAAATGTGTCATTAGGTGACTTCATTGTGAAAACATCATAGAATGTACTTACACAAACCTAGATATATACCTGACTATATATTATATATGGTACAGCCTAATGCCTTTAGGCTGCAAACCAGTACAGCATGTTACTCTACTGATTACTGTAGGCAATTGTAACACAATGGCAAATATTTTCATATTTAAACATATCTAAGCATGGACAAGGCACAGTAAAAACATGGCATTATCATCTTACGGGACCACCATGACATATGTGTTCCATCATTGACTGAAACATTGCTATGCAGTGCATGACTCTATTAGAGTATTTCATAATGGTATTTTAAGAGCTTCCTCATCCCCCTCCCCCAAGGCTATACTGTTCAGTGTTTCACTGTATGGATAAGCCATAATTCATTAAACAGGAGAGTCATGTCTTACTTACATATCTATACCTGCTCTGTAAACGCATTCATTCATATTCAAGGGACTGAACTCTTGAATTTGTGCAGAATATTTCTCTTCTTCATGGCTGAGTATCCTAACCAGCTGAGAGGATTTTCCCTTCTTTAAAGACCAAGGTATTTAAGATTCAGTCATTTCAGAAATAAATCCTTCTAAATTGTGTTGTATAACTATAAAATTTATTTCTTCTTAACAGTAAAATAGTGGGCATTTTTAAATGGTTTTAACACAGGTATCAGCATCAGTATTGTTTAGGAATATAAAAGAGTAATATTTCAGGAGCTTTTGCTGGTTTTGCCTTACTAAGTGGCACCATTTTGACATATATCATCTATCTATTTTACCTGCTTTTTAGATTTTTTTTCTCTTCATCTTTCTTGTTTCCTATGTTGGCTGCCTCTAACATAATATTCCTTTTTCCTCTGGTACTTATTCCCCACTGCTTCCCAGTTCCTTTTCTTAATTTGCTTTGTAAATTTTTGGTGGACAATTAGCCAGATAACCAGGACAGAAATATTCCTAAAATAAAAATAAATAGATTCAGAGAGAAGGTCTGATGGAGTTTTCCTGCCGATGAAAATTTTGGAATGAATGTTTTGGAATTCTGGATACCTAGAGGGCCTTTTTGCTTCCTGGTTATTACCGTGTTCTAGGACAGCTCTGTCTAATAGACCTTTCTGTGATGATAGAAATGTTTTATGTCTGCCCTATCCATTATGATAGCCACTATCCTCACGTGGCTCTTGAGCACTTGACATGTGGCTAGTATTAAGTAACTGAAATTTTAATTTTAATTAAGTTAAATTCACATAACCACATATGACAGCTGGCTGCGTGTTAGACGACGTAGTTCTAGACTCTAGTTAACTAACTTATATACAGCAAGCTTGATTAGAGGAGAGCTTGAACTGGGATGCTATTATTGTGCTGAGAAGAATAAATTTATAGTTTTGGAAGGGAGACAATTTGGAATGTAGATTATCAGATTAGCTTAAAGTAAATGATTAAATTGGAACTGCCTTTTCATATTGACGTTATGATTATTTCACAGTGTAGCATTTTAAAGCCATTGTTACCAGCATTTATTTGTGGTTTGTATCTGTGGCAAAGCTGTGAGTCCTTTTGGTAACTAGGGTGAAATTAGTAGCACTCTAACTTTATTTATAGGACTTGGTTAGACAGTTGCCTGAGTGCCAGAAACTCCTGCAAATAACTTTGACCTTCCCTAACAAAAAGTCAAAGGATAAAGCGTTTCATAGTAGAAGATTTCAGTTGTATCTGACATACACAAAACATTACTTTCTAATGGAGAAATCTGTAACCAAAAAAAGCATAAATAATTAAAGATTTTGGTAACTGCTAGGAAGAACATAAACAGGGCACAGTAACAGAGAGTACGGGCTTGTGGGGAAAGACCTCCAACTAGATAGAGGAGTCTGGAGAGTTTTATTTGAGGAAGTGATATTTAAGCTGAGTTCTAAAAGATAAGAAGGAGCCTGGCTTGCAAAGAATGAAGGTGGAACGAGGAGGGATTTCAGAAAGAGGGAATTAAGGGGTATGGGGGAGAGGAATTGACACAAAATCAGTGTCTTTAGAATAGTGATTGAGAGGAGATATGGTATGAAGTGAGGTTGGAGAAGTGGGCACATAGCAGGTCATATAGGACCTTAAAGACCATCATAAGGAGTTTGGAAAGAAAAATGTAATGTGATGCCGTGGAAGTAGGAGAGTGATAAGATCTGGTGTTTGTTTTACAGAGTTTCTCTGGCTGCTGTGTGATGGTGTTTTGGAAGGGAGCAACAATGGAAATGGGGAAACTAGTGTGATATTCAGGAAAGAGATGATGGTGGCTTGGGTTAAGGTGGTTTAAGGCAGTGGAGGTCAAGTGAAGTCACACACACAGAAGTTGCTGTAGGTTGGATGTGAGGGATGAGGGGTGAAGGAAGGGTTTCTGGCTTTCATAATTGTCAGGTAGTACCAGGGGACTTCAAGGGTGGTGATGGTGGAGAATTAAGGACCCAATTTTGGGCATGTTGAGTTTGACATGCTTGTGTGACAGCTAAGTAGTCATATTGGAGCATGGGGAGAGGTCTCTGCTAGGGGTGTAACTTGGTAGTTATTAACATGTTGATGGTATTTGAAGTGATGGGAATGGATGAGACAACTTAGAGAAGATGACTCAGGATTGAACCCCAAGGAACACTTGCCTTTTAGAGGTCTGTCGAGGGAGAAGCCATAAAAAGATACTGAAACAGTAACCAGTGATGCATGAAAAAACAAAAAAAATGGCATTGTAGTATCTCAGAAGCCAGAAGAAGAGAATGTTTTAAGAAGATTGTCAGCTTTGTTGAATCCTGCTAAGAGGTCAGATAAATGTGGAAGTAGTAGACCTTGATAAGTTGATTTAATGGAGTGGAGGGCTTGGAAACTTTGTTTTGAGTAGATTGAAGAAAATGAGAAGTGAAGAAATTGAGACAGATATAGACAACAACTTTTTCAAGATAATTTACCCTGAAGTGGTGAGCAGGGAAATAGCAGGTAGCTGGAGGGAGATGAGGGGTCAAAGGAGAACTTTAAAAAAATTAGGGTTCATTTAATCATTTACTTATTATAGAACATTAGATTTAGTGGTAAGAAGATACTGTCTGAATGCTTCTCATTTAAAATGACATAGAAAATTAGCTAAGAGGTTGTGTGTAGTGGCTCATGGCTGTAATCCCTGCATTTTGGGAGGCTGGGGCAGGAAGATTGCTTGAACCCAGGAATTCAAGACTAGTCTGGGCAACATAGTGAGACCCGCCCCTTCTCTAAATTTTTTTTTTTTTTTTTTAATTAGCTGGGCGTGGTGGCATGTGCATGTAGTTCCAGCCACTTGGGAGGCTGAGGTGGGAGAATAGTTTGAGCCCGGGAGGTCAAGGCTGCAGTGAGCCATGATCGCACCACTGCACTCCAGCCTGGGCGACAGAGTGAGATCCTGTCTCAAAACAAACAGACAAAAAGTAAAATAAGAAAATTAGCTGAGAGTAGGTAGTGAAGAGTGAATGAGGGAGGTTTGAGGAGAAGCAAGAAATAGTCATTTTGGGGAGTAGGAAAGCTTTCAAGGGCAGCTTTGGTGGATTGCTTGGCATCGTTGAGTGTCCATTTGAGGTTTGTGATCATGAATATATAGTGAAGTCAGTCAGCTTGGTTATGTGATTTTTCTTCAGCAACATTCAGCTGATTGGGCATAGGCACTAGAAAAGGCAGACAATTGGATTTAACCAGGATTGGAGTTGTGTCAGGTGGCAGTGATGGAGAGGACAAATGATTGAGGGTATTTGCAAGGGAGAGATTGTAATTATGGAACACGGCATCAAAATTGGACAAAGAGGGTGCAGAACCGGAGTGGGTAGATAATGGAAAAGTGGTTGGGATGGGAGGACTTCATGACGTCAAAAATTGTAGGGAGGGGATACCAGAGAAAGCTAGTTAGAAGTAAGGGAAGTTCTTTGAGAGTATAATTGAAACGTAATAAGGAAAGATGGGTCTTTTAAGATGATGCAGCTTTTCTTCTCTTTTTTTTTTGAGACAGAGTCTCACTCTGTCGCCCAGGCTGGAGTGCAGTGGTGCATTCTCAGCTGACTGCAACCTCTGCCTCTAGGGTTCAAGCGATTCTCCTGCCTCAGCCTCCTGAGTAGCTGAGACTACAGATGCACCACCACACCTGGCTAATTTTTGTATTTTCAGCAGAGATGGGGTTTCACCATGTTGGCCAGGCTGGTCTTGAACTCCTGAACTCAAGTGATCCGCCTGCCTCAGCCTCCCAAATTGCTGGGATTATAGGTGTGAGTCACCGCGCCCAGCCAAGATAATGCAGTCTTCTGTTTTAGGGGTGGTAGCTCTGGGTTTCCTAATAACTGGGAGTAAGAGCTCTAACAAATCACTTAATTGCCTTTCCCAAGAGGCTAGCTTTGAGATGGACCGCTTTCTCCATGTATATATACATCTAGAGCTTAGTTTAGACATCATAGAAGGTAACCACCATTCACAGAAGTTTCTGGGTCTATTCTCTGAATGACATCAGTAGTAGCAGTGTTTTGGCCAGTGCACAAGTACAGTATGTGTACACCAACTCCCAAACCCTATCTCTGTCGTTTGTTGTTGTTTTTTACTTTTTTCTTGAGATGAGAGTTTTACTATGTTGCCCAGGCTGGTCTCAAACTCCTGAGCTCAAGCAAACCCTCCTGCCTCAGCCTCCTGAGAAGCTAGGATTACAGGCTCACATCACCACACCTGGCTTCATTTGTTATTTAAAGTCTTGGTAATGGGCAGAGGTAGAGTGCAGGGTTATTTATATCCAGGGTAAGTTTTTCAGTGATTTTTTTTCCAGTCTTGATTCAGTTTTGTCAGTGAATAGGTATGATTTAGTGGAAATGATCTTGGAGTCTTAAAAACGAACGTTGAACTTTTGGCTCTTTATTCACTAGCTGTGAGACCATGAGTATATTATGTAACCACTTTGGGCCTCAATTTCCTTTGATCTGTGAAAAAGATAACAGGGCCTGTCTTACAGAGATATTGTGAAGATGCAATGAGATAATGCATGCAAAGTTGTGGCACATAATATGCTCTGAGTAAATAGTAGCGGTTGGTGGTGTTACATTGAAACCAGCAAGTGGGAGAGGAATGTTCACTGTTTTGTCTTCCAGGGTGGTTTACATCCCCTAACTGGAAAGTGGCAGCCATATCTACGCCTTCTCCCATGAGTCGCTACTGCTGCATGTGGCCAGTGCCTCTGTCTAGACCAGCTTCTCAGATTTCGGTGTGCCTGAGAGTTACCTGGGGCTTTTGTTATCATATGATTTTGATTTTGTAAGTCTAGGGTGGGGCCTGAGATTCTTCAAATCTAAGGAGTTTCCAGTTGATGCTCATTCTGCTGTTGCTGGTCCATGTGTCACATTTGAGTAGCAGAATTCTGTTAGAGATTGCCCTGTGGGAATCCCTGCTATTTTAAGCTGAGAGGAAGTGAGGGAAAAAGAGCCTCATTCTTTCGACTTTTTTTTTTTTTTTTAAGTCAGCTTCATAGACAATACTCATACATCTCATTTCTCTACCTCAGTGTTGTTTTGGTGAGTCTGTATTGTCTCTACCAGTCCAGGAAGTGATAGGAATATAAACTATGTATAGAGGGTTGCCTCAGATTTCTTCTGAAGAATTTTTAGTGCCTGATTTCTCAGGTACATTTTTGAGAAATTGTGCTGGCTCCCCCGGTATACCTACTTCCCCCCGCTATCCTCTTACAACCACAGAGAAACTCGTATAAAACAAGTAGCCTGCCAGCCTGGCCAACATGGTGAAACCTTGTCTCTACTAAAAATACAAAAATAGCTGGGTGTGGTGGCAGGCGCCTGTAATCCCAGCCACTTGGGAGGTTGAGACAGGAGAATCACTTGAACCCGGGAGGCGGAGGTTGCAGTGAGCCGAGATCATGCCACTGCACTCCAACCTGGGCCACAGAGTGAGACTCCATCTCAAAAACAAACAAAACAAGTAGCCTCTTGAATTATTGGAGTCAGAGGCAGAGCATCTAAAATGTGGCTCCAGACCCTTTCTGCCCACCAGACTCACATTGCAAAATCCAGCATTTTTGAGATGTAGGAATTCAGGAAGCAAGGTTAGAATTATTGGCAATACCCATATTGCTGTCCCAGATTATCTGATTTTTCTTTCTCAGAAGCAAGCATGCCAGAAACTTCTTCTGTGGGCCCTCCTCAGAAGACTTTCTTTAGTGCTCAAATGGACACATTCTCTCCTCTGAACTAACAGATAGGGTGATAAGCTATCAGTCACAAAGTCTGATAACATGCTCTCCTGATAGAATGAAGTATGTGTGCATCTTAATCTCTGTGTATAAGACTGTGATTCTTTTTAGAGTCTCTTTATAGTGTGGAGTTTTTACACCTTTTTGTCTCTTAATGTGAATTGTATATAGCTATAAAGCATAGCTTTCCTTATTTGACTTTGATAATTGGAAATAAATTTTTTTCTTCTCCTACCACTTTGTTCCCCCTTTTTTCTTTCTTTCTTTTTTTTTTTTTGTTTTGTTTTAAAGGTAGAAAAATGTGAACATGCAGGAGCATGAATAAAAAAGATAACTTAGCTTCCCTGTGGGTTTTTGGTTTTTGTATGTTTTCATAAAGGTAACATACAGAAGAGTTTTATTTCTGACCAGACTGACCACCTAATTTTAAAGATTATGATCAGAAAAGAAATAGATGCATTTATAATAGGAATTTACAAGCCCTTCCTGTGGTTCCAAAGAAGTTTATGGTGGTTCCACCCATGGGAGTTTCAGAGGTAGTTTGCAGAGTTTTTGTGACATATTTAAACTTTTCTTTATTTTGAGGGTTTCTTTTCTTGGTATTTTTCTCCTGCTTTGCTGCAGGGTATGTCTTTTATATTTTATTTTATTTTATTTTTTATGTTTGTTATGTTATGTTATGTTATGTTATGTTATGTTATGTTATGTTATGTTATGTTATTTTTGAGACAGAATTTTGCTCTTGTTGCTCAGGCTGGAGTGCAATGGCTAGACCTCGGCTCACCGCAACCTCTGCCTCCTGGGTTCAAGCAATTCTCCTGCCTCAGCCTCCTGAGTAGCTGGGATTACAGGCATGCGCCACCATGCCCAGCTAATTTTTGTATTTTTAGTAGAGACAAGGTTTCTCATGTTGGTCAGGCTGGTCTTGACCTCAGGTGATCTGCCCGCCTCGGCCTCCCAAAGTGCTGGGATGACAGGCATGAGCCACCACGCCCAACCTTTTATCTTTATCCTATCCTAAACTTGATTAAAAGATAACACTATAAAATTACAGTATGAAGATCCAGAATTTCATTGTATTTATTTTATTGATACTTGGTTAAGAATGAATGACTGCCAGTGGTCATGGTGGCTCATGCTTGTAATCCCACACTTTGGGAGGCCCAGGCAGGTGGATCGCTTGAGGTCAGGAGTTCAAGACCAACCTGGGCAACATAGTGAAACCCCGTTTCTACCAAAAATACAAAAAAATTAGCCAGGCGTGGTGGCGTGTGCCTGTGGTCCCAGCTACTCTGGAGGCTGAGGTGAGAGGATCGCTTGAGCCTGGGAGGCAGAGGTTGCGATGAGTCGAGATCACGCCACTGCACTGCAGCCTGGGCTACAGAGTGAGACCCTGTCTCAGAAAAAAAAAAAAAAAAAAAAAAGGATTGTGGGAGAAGATGGCGGCCGCTGCACAATCCCGGGTTGTCTGGGCCCTGCCAATGTCACATTCTGCCATTACTGCAATAGCCACATCCGTGTGTCACAGCCCACTCCATTGCCAGCTTCATCATGCCCTCATACCTCATGGGAAAGGTGAATGTTCCTCAAGTCAGTGGGATTGTGGCCACTGGGTTTGGAGCAACAGGATTCCTGGGCCGATGTGTTGTCAACCACCTTGGACGCGTGGGGTCACAGGTGATCATACCCTATCGGTGTGATACATGTGACATCATGCACCTTCGTCCCATGGGAGACCTGGGCTAGCTTCTGTTTCTGGAATGGGACGCGAGAGATAAAGATTCTATCTGACGAGTAGTGGAACACAGCAATGTGGTCATAAATCTTGTTGGACGAGACTGGGAAACCAAAAACTTTGATTTTGAGGATGTTTTTGTGAAGATTCCCCAAGCAATTGCTCAGGTGTCCAAGGAAGCTGAAGTTGGAAAATTCATTCATGTTGCACATCTGAATGTGAATATTAAAAGCTCTTCTAGATATTTGAGAAAGAAGGCTGTTGGAGAGAAAGCAGTGAGAGACACATTTCCAGAAGCCATTATCGTAAAGCTGTTGGACATCTTTGGAAGAGAGGATAGATTCCTTAATTATTTTGCAAATATGTGTTGGTTTGGTGCTATACCCCTTGTTTCCTTGGGCTGGAAGGCAGTTAAACAACCAGTATACGTCGTAGATGTATCCAAAGGAATTGTTAATGCAGTTAAGGATCCTGATGCCAATGGGAAAACCTTTGCTTTCGTTGGGCCAAATCGATATCTCCTCTTTGACCTGGTGAAGTACATCTTTGCTGTGGCTCACAGCAAAGGGGTACTTCCTCCCGTACCCCTTGCCACCTTTTGCCTATCAGTGGGTAGCAAGAGACTTTGAAATAAGCCCATTTGAGTCCTGGACAACAAGGGATAAAGTGGAGCGTATTCACATCACAGACATGACCTTGTCTCACCTGCCCAGCTTAGAAGACCTTGGTATTCAGGCAACACCACTGGAACTCAAGGCCATTGAGGTGCTGCGGCTTCATCACACTTACTGCTGGCTGTCTGCTGAAATTGAGGATGTGAAGCTGGCCAAGACCGTCAACATTTAGTGCCTCCCGAGCAACTCTTGGTTTTGGTGTCTTTTGGGTCAGCCCGTGTGGTTTGAGCACCCAGCCAGGTGGTCTCTTTAGAGAATCCTGTACACAGTGAATAAGATCCCACCATTAAAACATTTGAGGTTAAAAAGAAAAAAAAAGAATGAGTGTCGAGTAATAAAAGACTCTTCAAAGAATTTGAAAAAATGAATCTCTTATCAGTGTAATTTTAATATAGTTATTTACAGTATGGTATGGGGAGTGTTGGTGACTTAAGATTTAGGGCATGAGCCATGTAACTAGAGAGGAAAGTTGTGTATAAAAACTGATTATGGACATGTAAAAGAGTCTAAGTAACACTTTATGGAAAGTCAAGATTTATTTTTCTTTTTTTCTTTTATTTAGAAAACAGGCTATCTCAGTTTCAGGCTTGGAAGTTCTTTCTCCTCTTTTGTACTAGAAATGTAGTAATCTTGCCTTCAGAAGAAGCAGAGAGGTTCTATGTAGAGAAAAAGAAAAGGTTTGGGTGAGGCCAAGAAGAATACCTGCCCCACCTCTCCAAGTTTAAATGAGCTGGGAGTTTAAGGTGGGAGGAGAGAAAACGTTCGTCTGCGGAAAGCATGCGTTCAGTGTGAAAGAAAAGGAAAAGTGATTCTATTTCTACCCTAAGAGGAAGAAACCCCACTATGGCAGGTAACTAAGCCCAGAGCACGCACAGTGGGAATATTAGGTAGGGAGAGTGAAAGTACCTGCATGGGGCCTACCTTGAATGTGAGACTTGTAGACCTTACTTGGAGATTTTATAAGCAGGAAGGAGCTGTTTCAGCATGTCTGAGGGGGAGCCAAAACCCTGAGGCAGCTGGAAGGTGGTTTTTGTTTGCTTTTTATTTTGTTTTGTGTTTTCTTTAATGAGTGGGAAGGAGTGGAATATTCCTCAAAACCTGTTACCGTTTGAGAATGTTTTGTGCACCTACTGTGTGCTAGGTACTATGCAAAAGACTCCATGGCCAAAAATGGATGAGCCAAGACGAGATGTTAGGTCTCCACTGAGGAAGATGTGCAGAGGAGAAGTGGTTTGCTATAGGAATACTTGGAGAAGTAGCCCACAGAGGTGGTCAATGCCATGTTACAAACACCAGTCCCCACAGAGAAAGGAGAGCTCACTCACAGCTGGGGTTTGCTTTTGGATTTGAACATGGAGAAAGGGGTCGGGGAAGCAAGGAACACGTATGGGCATTGACATTGGCATTAGAATATGGGGGATAATTACGTGATTTTCTGAATAAAAACCATTAGGACAGGTGATTTGATAATACTTGTTCACCACTGGGCATAATGAATGAAAACTCGCCTGGCATATAGGAAGTACTTAATAAATGTTTGAACTGAATTAAAATTAGAAAACATGGTCACCAGGAACATGGCAGACAGTTTACGTAGTTATATCATTACAACACCTCTGAAAGGAGTATTAAACCTATTTTTTGGTAGAGGAAACAGAAGCCTGGACAGGTTGGAAACTTTCCCCAGGCCATAATGATAGTACTTGTAGATCTAGAATTGAAACCCAAGCCGTGCACCTTAGCCCGTCTGCGTGGTGAGTAAAGTGTCTGTACCATGCTACGAGCTCATGATCCACTTGACTCCTTCAGAAGCCAGGCTATGTTGATGTGAACTAGGGCAGTAGTAATAAAAAAGATGAAAAGCCTATTCAGTTTTATATCTTAAGTTTTCCTGTGTTTTGAAATCTTGCAAGATTAAGAATTATTAGTGGTGAAATGACGTAAAGAATAGTGGTGTCAAGCACACATTGTGAGAAAGGAATGTGGGCTCTGAGCAGGTTCTGTGTGTGTGCTTGGCTTCTGCAAGGGGCTCCACAATTGGGGCAGAGGGAAAGCTTGGCTCACTTGCCTTGATCTTAGAGGGCAGAGATTTTTGATTGCTTCATTCATGTTTAAAGAACTCATCTTAAACTAATGTATATCTAGCACTAGAAACTGGTGCTGGTGGTTTATTACTGACCCCACCCATCCCTGTCTTTTGCAATAATCTTTGTGAGTGGTGATTGTGTTTCTAGAAGTAGAATTGCAGAGAGAGATTCCCTGAAGGCAAATACAGAGAGAGTGTGCTGTACACTCTAGTTCAGATACTCAGAGCTGGGAACTCCCAGAGAGAGAGAGAGAAAGAGAGAGAGAGAGAGGGAGGGACGGAGGGAGGGTGAGAGGGAGGAGAGAGAACAACAGAACAGTCAGCTGGAGCGGAGGGGGGAGGAGACCAGTCTTTTCTTTTTTTTTTTTTTAGGATTTTTTAACTCAAGTGATTTTGGGGGGTTTCTCCCCACCTCAAACTCTTGCCCCCCAGTTTTGGCATCTTCTTTCCTGTGGTTCACTGAAGTGCCTTTTTGCAGTCCAGGATCCACTGACCGCTGAGTTTGAGCAGCCCGATCTGACATGATGTACCTCTGGGTGAGTACAGAGTGCTGTGGGTGAGGGTTTGCACTTGCACATATAAGGAGTGGAAAGCTGCGAGGTTCTGCTGTTGCACAAATGGCCTCCCCACAGAGCACAGACTGCCACATCCCCTTCTGTTCCAAGGTGTTAGGTTTTTAAAACCTAGCGGTGATTGTGACATTGTTTTTTTTCCTCCCCCTATGTTGTTTATCTTGTCAGACTTAGGCGCAAGGGCTGAACTCCCTGCGCAGTACCATCCCCTGGGCTTGGTAGGTTTGGAGAAGGCAAGTGGGGCAGGTGAAGTTGTGAGCTGGTTGCTTCAGGAACTGCAGTCTTCCTGGTGGCTCAGGATCGACTTGTGTTTTGTTTTGGGGGTACTGACCTTGTTAAGCCATGTCTTTAGATATTGAGAGCCAATAGGCGGCATGATTATTAATTAGGAATAAGCTTTCATAAGCTTTTATCTAATAATTTTTACTATCCTTCACAATAGTCTTGTGAAATAGGTCACTCACTACTGTTATTAAAATTGTGTGAGGAAAGTAATTAAGCCACAAAGAGTGACTTGCCCGTAGTTAGAAATCAAGTCTATAGCAGTTAGAATAGTAATTAATAATGAGACATTATAAAGCATTTTATATTTGCCAGGAATGTAGTACCTTCTATTACTGTAATTTACCGTCAATAGTAGCATTGTAGTTTGGGATGGAGAGAAACTTTCTGGGACTGGAGAAGTTTGTAAATTATGAAATGTGATAACTTTTAGAGAAATGTCAGGGGAAATAATAGAGAAACTGCTCCCCCAAGCCGCCTGCAATTTTTAGTTGTTAAGACAAGAACATCTTACAGTCCGTTGCAAAGATGGCAGTATGTCTCTTGAGCAAACAGCTGTTGTGTGTTGCTAAGGGAGCCTACTAGATGTGATGCTCTTGGCTACTAACCAGCTTTTTGAAAGTTTCCCTTTGCCCTTTGCCCTTCAGCCCAGATGTCTGGAATTGCAGGAACCTACTTGGCTAACACAGGCTAAATTTATAAATTATCAGAAAGCAAATGTTAACTGCGTTTGCAGAGATGGAGCTTGTTCACAGAAGATGTATATGTATGTGTGTATGTTCGGAGGGGCTGCTTTTCGTGCTTCTCCCTTCATGTTTAAATATGACCTTGAAATATTATTTTCTCTTCTCTATTGATTTTTTTTGTAGTATTTGTAAGAGCTCAGAACTTTTCTGACACACTAATGTGCATTAAGTAGTTTTCGCCTCCCTGTAAACTAGTCATCTGTGCAGGCTCTTTGCAGCCTTGTGGGTGGGATTGATCAGCCCTGTTGACCTGAAGGATGGGCTGTTCTGTCTTTTGATTTGTTTGGAAGAGGAGTTATGAAAGGAAGCAAGTTGAATTAATCTCATTTTCACTCACTTATGTTTGATGAAAGCAGACAGTGACAGTCTCCTTAGTTATTTCCTTTGTGCTTATGTTACAGTTACTTGTGTATTTATCTCAATTTTTTTTTTTACTTATTAACCCTGGAACAGAGCTTCCCTACCAATGCTACATGCCAGATTGAGATAGAAATATGCCAAGATTACTATACCCCACAACCCTTGGAGCAGCCAGCTGGGGCTTGGGAGTCCCCTGGTCACTTTGATCATGTGCACCCTAATTTGTTTACCACTTTGTGCTATAAAAATATTTCCTATGTATGCCATGACACCTGAAGGCTTGGGTAGCACTGCCTAGAGGGCAAAAAGCAGGTCAGCTCTATCTCTTTTATTATTTGTGTCATCTAGCCCAATGCCTTTGTTTACTTCATTGAGGACGTGCAGAAGGAGCTATAGCGAATAATGCCCAGATACATAGAAGGAAGCCTTGGTGGTCACGCATTCAGTGGGAGGCACAGAGGAGCTGCTGTGGACTAGGAATAGGAGATGAGAGTTTTAGTGTAGGTTTAGCCAGTACCAAGCCATGTGACTTTCGGCAGTCATATAACTATTCTGAGACTCAGTTTCCACATGCGTAAGATAATTGAACTGAACCTCTTCTGATTCTGAAATTCCATGAAGTGAATTTTATGTAACAGTAGATATGCCTGAAAAATGCCCAGTTCTGCAAGGATGTTTAGGTCTAGGTGATCAGAGAAAACTGTCAAACATACTGTATCACCTCCCTTGCATGCTTGGTTTGGTACCAGTAATGGGTCAAAGGCACTCTTTCTGAGTATTCTAGAAAAATTACTGGACTATGTTCAGTTGTCAGTACCTCTGAATTGGTGCAGATGGGCATTTTTAGAACCTGTAGAATTGAAGAGTAAAAGTTACAGCTTATCCAAGCATTTTCATTTGTGTAGTTAGATGCAGCTCATTAATTTGCTCCTGTGTGTCTAGAACTCTGAGATAGAATGCTATCTTGTGCGCTCTCTATGCTGCTTTGCCAGATTTTCTCCCCGCTTTCCTGTTGAGTCATCCTCTTTTTTAGTGAATTTGGTAGCGTCAGTTGGCAGCATGAGGTGGTGAAAAGAATACGGGTTTCAGAAACCTCACTAGGTCTAAATCCCACCCCTGCCATTTCCAAGTGTATGACTGTTAAGTTACTTAACCTCTCTGAGCCTCAGTTTCATTTGTCATATAGGGAAAATAGTGGCACTCAGGATTGTTGTGAAGATTTGAGATAATCTATGAATATACTTAACATAGTGAATGGCACACAATAGATGCTCAGTAAATAACTAGTACAAGCCAACTTTTTGCTTTGAACATTTGCATAGGCAGACTACTCACCACTCCGAAGTGTTTTCTGTATCACGTTGAGGGTATCTTTGAATTCATCTAGGGAGAACTTTGATAAACACAAACTAGTTTTTTGTGAAATATTTTTCCTCTTAGTTTGTATGTTAAGTACTCGTGGCTCGGGAGCCCTTGTTAAGGTTGCCTCCTGATGGAGAAAAATCCCCATTATTTGTTGTAAACTTTTTTTTTTTTTTTGCGTTGCACAGTACTATTAAGCATTCATTATGTCATTTATTTTCCCTCTCTCGCCATCATCAAAAACAGGGAAAGAGACAGACAGATATGATTCCTGTACTGAGGCAACTTACTTGTTTGATGATTATGTAATTTATATCCAATAAACATAATTATAGACCACTTACTTAAATTACCAGAAAACAGGATATGTTCTCCCTGTCTGTGCAGTCTTAGCTGGACAGGCACCAGGCCCTCTCTTATTCATGCTCTATATGGATGAACTTCTGGATTTTATTTTGAACTGTTGTTTTTTCATAGTTCAATTCTGTCTTCTTAATAAATCAGTTCAGCCAACATTTAATGAATGCCCATAATGGGTAGAGCCAGCTGTTGCAAATACAAAGATGATTAAAGATTAAAGACATAGTGTGCCCTGGCCGGCCTTAGTGGCTCACGCCTGTAATCCTAGCACTTTGGAAGGCCGAGGATGGCGGATCATGAGGTCAGGAGATCGAGACCATTCTGGCTAACATGGTGAAACACCGTCTCTACTAAAAATACAAACAATTAGCTGGGCATGGTGGCACGCACCTGTAGTCTCAGCTACTCAGGAGGCTGAGGCAGAAGAATTGCTTGAACCCGGGAGGTGGAGGTTGCAGTGAGCCGAGATCACGCCACTGCTTTCCAGCCTGGGCAACAGAGCGAAGACATAGTGTGCCCTTAACAAATTTATAACACCATGGTAGAGAATCTGTATGCACAGGTAATAATGATTTTTGAATGCTATTCGAATCTGTCTACACAGATAATAATGATTTTTATATGCTATTCAATTAACATACATAAGTGAAATCCTTTTATGTGCTATTTCATCCTCACAACATTGCTAAGGACTAAGTATCATTATCCCTATTGTACAGGTGAGGAAAGCAACCATGAGAGAGTATATGACAAGCAGTAAATGGCAGACCTGGAAACGCAATCTCATCTTTTAAAAACTATGGCTCTTATTTCATTTTATGCTAGCTTCTTTTGGGAGAACCTGATTTTTTTTTGTTTCATTTTATTTTATTTTAAACTGTCTATTGAGTGATAACATTTACTCCTCAGTGCACCTGAGTGTTAGCTATTATCTTCATTTTACAGATGAGAAAGCAGATATTTCAGTAACTTGCAAAGTCACACAGTTTGCAATTGTCAGAGTTAGAATTTGAACTGTGGTTTGTCCATCCCTAAAACTTGCTATACCACAATTAGCCTCGTCTTGTATTTGTTCAGTGGTTTCCAGTTTATCAGTATAGTAGTCCCCCTTATCCATGGCTTCACTTTCTGTATCTCTAGTTACCCAAGGTCAATCACACTTCAAAAGTATTATATTTTGAGAGAGATAAAGAAACCACATTCGTGTAACTTTTATTATAGTATATAATTATTCAGTTTTATTATTAGTTATCATTAATCTCTTACTGTGCCTAACTTACAAATTAAACTTAATCGTAGTATATATAGAATTCAGTACTACCCAAAGTTTCAGGCATCTACTTGGGGGTCTTGGAATATATTTCCCACAGATGAGGGACACTACCTGTACTAGCATTCAGCATGGTACAAGGCTAGAGTAGAGAAATGAAAATAAGGAAACCTGAATTCTGTTTTCATCACCCTTCGTTACTTGAGACAATTACTTAACTGTGTATACCTTGATTTTTCAGGTTACGAAAAAGATATATTCTTAGGAACATTCATGGAATAATCTTAGAAAAATGCATATCAGTCATTTTAGAAATGAAGTAGCAAGTAACTGATGGCTTTATCATAAAACTTGAAAGTCACAGACTGTGAGTCAAAAGATACAGTTTCGGGTCTTGGTTGTGCCATTTGTCAGTGTATCATCTTTCTGAGCATGTTTCCTAATCTTTAAAATGGGACCAAGAGATTATAGAGATAATCTGTGAAAGTTTCTGGAAGTTCTTTTGTGTGAGGCAAAAATAAGCTAATAACAACACCTTATTCAGGTTTCACGTTAGTCATTTAGTGCTTTTTATCACTATTTTGCCACTCTAATTGCTCTACACAATTAGAGAACTAGACTTAATAGTAAATTGAATTATCACAAAATGTAGACAATGGCTCAGTTCAGATAACATTTAAGGTCAGATGCCGTGATAGGTACCGTACTTGACAGTGAAAAGCCATTAAAAGATTCTAAGTAGGATTGGGAGTAGGGTGAAGTGAAGTTTATAATTAGATTTTTTAAAAAGATACCTACATAGATTAGAGGAGAGTAAAAGTGCAGAGAGAAGTTAGGTGATTGTTGTGTAAGAGTCTGAGTGACAGGGAAGGTCATGATAGAATGGGCTGGAGGGAAGCGGAACTGTATTGAGAGATTCAGAAGGTAAAATTGACAGGATGTTATAATTTAGAAGAGGACCAGGTTTTTGTAGGAGGGAAGATGAAAGGGATCATGGGTTTGGTTTTGGATTTAGTACTTGGGTAACTTTGAGATGTTCAAGAGGAAATATTGCTTACATGGCCACCTAGGTCTGGAAACAGAAGGAAAGACAGAGGCTTTCCTCTATTGTGAGAAACCTGCATGCCCCGAGCGGGTCTCATAATGGCTTAAAATGATAACGGTCTAGGGAGGAATGTAGAGCAAGAAGAGAAGTTAATGCCTGGAGAAGAATGAATTTTCTTTTCTTTTCTTTTCCTTTTTGAGATGGAGTCTTGCTTTGTCACCCACCCTGGAGCACAGTGGCATGATCTTGGCTCACTGCACCCTTCGCCTCCTGCATTCAAGCGATTCTCCTGCCTCAAGCCTCCCAGGTAGCTGGGATTACAGGCACCCACACCACGCCGAGCTAATTTTTGTATTTTTAATAGATATGGAGTTTCACCATGTTGGCCAGGCTGGTCTTGAACTCCTGACCTGAAGAGATCTGCCCACCTTGGCCTCCCAGAGTGCTGGGATTACAGGACTTAGTCAGTGTGCCCGGCCAAGATTTTCAAAGGAAGCAGGGAACTAGGTTTTAAAGACCTTATTCTTAAGGAGGAAAACCAGGACATTAGGAAATCAAGATAAGAGATTGTGGCAAGACACTGAAAACTGTCCTTGGATTTAGCAATATGGAAGTCATTGGTGACTTTAGCAAGGGTTATTTTGGTGGAATGATGAGGGCAGAAGCCTGAGTTTAGCAATATGGAGGTCATTGCTGACTTCAACCCCTCTTCCCTTTCTGCCATGAGTGGAAGGAAGCAGCCAGAGACCCTCACCAGATGCAGGTGCCAGTGCCACACTTCTTGCACAACCTGCAGAACTGTGAGCCAAATAAACCTCTTTTCTTTATCAATTACACAGCCTCAGGTATTCCTTTATAGCAACATTAAATGGACTAAGACAATAGCCTAGAGCAATGGGCTGTATTGTATAGCCTAGGTATGTAGTAGACTAGACCATCTAGGTTGGTGTAAGCACACGGAACCTTGATGTTCTCACACAATCAGATTGCTCAGTGATGCATTTCTCAGAACACATTCCTGTTGTTAAGTGATACATGACTACTATATTGCAGATTTGAGGAGTGAAGCAAGGTATAAAATAGTAATCTCAAAAAAATGGGGAGTAAATTTACTACAGAGATGAAGTAGGCCTAAGATTTGTGATCATAAATTTGATGTATGTGGTGGCGAGTCAGTTGTGTGAGTTTTATCCAGCAATCTTCTGTTATTTAAATGCAGGAGAGGAATAAGTACATAGTTGGAGCTGCCAAATGAGTTAGACTAAGGGAAAAGAGGACAAGGAAATTAAGATTTTTTGGAGAGGACTCTGTGTAGTATGAGGCCATAGGATCTAAACTGGCTTAGGAGGGAGGTAGAACATAAGAAGGAGTAATAGTGAAAAAGTGGTACATCAGCCTGTAAACTATAGATCTTAAGGAGGCTGGAGAATTGCCACAGGGGTCAAACTACTATTGTAAGCAAACGCTTGATGGTGTGATAATAGAATACTTGAAATTTTTGTAGGTAATGATTGTATTAGAATATGATGCTAGGTGAATGGCTTTAGGTGAGGTGGTGGAAAAATACAGTTGGTGCTAAAGACTTCAAAAAGAAGGCCAAAATGTTGAATCTATGTGGCTGTTGAAGTTATCAGAGTGATAAGACTAACAATGGAGATGAAATCAGGGAGCCCTATTTAGCAGGGGACAGGTGCAGTTTGCCTGGAGGGAAGAGAAGTGGTTTGGAAGCAGTATTGGGAAGGAAGGAAGAGGATATCTGGAAGGTCCAACACTATATGGTAATGGGGAGTAAGGCCGATGCTTGCCCCTGCTGAGGTATGTGATGAGTAAGAAAAAAGTGTTTACTGTAGAAGCAACAGTAATCTCAGGGGCAGTCTGGTTTCCTTAAGATCAAAAGAGTAAAGAGAATATCACAGAAGAGAGGTGAGTGTGTAGAGGAGTTTGCTGAGAATAGCCCATGACCTCCAGGGCGTGGGAGGGCAAGGAAGTGCAGGAGATGGGATCAGAAAAGGCATAGAGAACAGTTACCATTGTAGTTGTTCAGGTATGAGGTAAAAGGGCCTTGAGGTCAGGGTTTGACAATGAGAATAAAGATTTTAAGTAGATAGGAAAGGCTTACGCATGAATGCTAAAATATGGCAAGCTTCAGTTATTTAGGAAAGCCGCCTTTACTATTTGTTTTAATATGACATTTAATGTTAAACAACTATCTCTTTCTGGTCATGTTTCAAATCAGAATATGGAATTTTGTTGTTGTAAAATATATAAATTAAGGACTAAATTTGGAACCAAGTAAGTAAATACTTAGTAGATTTTAAATTGTTCGTTTGGAGGAGCAGAAAATCAGCGTGGTCAAAGCACACATATTGACAAGACGGAGAGGGAGGGTGGAGGATTAAACACCCAAGATATATTTCCTCTGGTCCTTTTCCCAACAACGACAAAAATATATTTTAGGAGTTGTAGTCTTACTTCACTAACTCCCCTTTCTCCTTCTTGGTTCTGGAAAACTGTACAGTCGTGTACCACATAAAGACGTTTCAGGTAGCTATGAACTGCATCATTCATCAGTGCAGTTCAATGCATCAGTCAATGCAGTTGAAGGCATCAGTCAATGCAGTTCAATCTTACGGTGGTTTCATAAGAGTGTATAAATAACAATTGTATCTTTACTGTCCCTTCTCTGTGTTTAGGTACATAAATACCATTGTGTTACGATTACCCACAGTAGAGTATTCAGTAGTCACCTGCTGTACATGTTTGTAGCCTAAGAGCAATAGGTCGTACATACCGTATAGCCGAGGTGTGTAGTAGGCTAGGCCATCTGAGTTTATGTAAGTACACTCTATGATGATCTCACAACTATGAAATCACCTAACAACACATTTCACAGGATGTGTGCCTGGCATTAAGCAGCACATGACTATATTGCTTTTAAAAGTTGTAATCCAGTTGAAAGCATTACATTCCTGTTTAGAATTAATAGGTTTTTCTGAATGTGAGAACTTGGTGCTCCTCTTCACACATTTTTTTTTAGCATCTTTCACTATTATTAAATAAGAGAACATATGTTACTTGTAATTGAAGGCCAGCATAGAATAGACATTCCACAGATATTGGTTGAAAAGTTAATTGGATATTCTAGGTATAATGAACTGTCTGGGTAGCAAAGTGTTCAACTAAAATATTGTGTTTGGGCCGGGCGCGGTGGCTCACGCCTGTAATCCCAGCACTTTGGGAGGCTGAGGTGGGCGGATCACGAGGTCAGGAGATCGAGACCATCCTGGCTAACATGGTGAAACCCCGTCTCTACTAAAAATACAAAAAATTAGCCGGATGTGGTGGTGGGTGCCTGTAGTTCCAGCTACTCAGGAGGCTGAGGCAGGAGAATGGCGTGGACCCGGGAGGTGGAGGTTGCAGTGAGCCCAGATCGTGCCACTGCACTCCAGCCTGGGCAACAGAGTGAGACTCTGTCTCAAAAAAAAAAAAAAAAAAAAAAAAAAAAAAATTAGGTTTGGGTTTCACTTAACCCAAATCTATAGGCTCTGTACTGTCTTCATTGTGTATTAACTTGTACGGTGTTTTACTTGCTTATTTAAATATAGACCATCTATTCAGAGGTTAAATAAATCAAGAGGGAGGTAAGAGTCAGAAGCTTATGTTGTTTATGCGGGGAAACGACCTAGCTTTCATTCCCTAAAATAACTGTCAAATTATTTTTCCTGAGTGTGTGAGATGAACTTTAATCACTGGCAAGATTCTTGTATCCATGAAAATCAGAAAACTGACTATGGTTTCATTGTGTTTCTCATCATACGCTAGTTACATTTCTGTCCCTGGCCTAGTCATTAGCCTGCCATATGATTAGACAGATGATCTTTATGCTCTTGTGTCTCATCTGTAAAATGGGCATGATTTTTCCCAGTAGAATTGTTAAGTATTATTTCTTAGATAAATTGACATTCACATAAAATATTCTTAATGATTTATTTATTCTGCTTCTTGTACAGTACTTGAAATTGCCAGTTAGGTAAAAAACATCATGGTTTTTTTGGCAAGGTGGGACTGAAGGTCTCACTAAACAGTACAGTAGATGCCAAAGGCTGGGCAGGGGTAGGTGGTCAGAGCACGTGTTGGGAAGATCAGTTGTTGCTGTGTCTGTGTTCTCCTCTGC
Organism: Homo sapiens; assembly: GCF_000001405.40. NCBI lineage: Eukaryota > Metazoa > Chordata > Mammalia > Primates > Hominidae > Homo > Homo sapiens. The sequence continues at coordinate 206,175 of NT_187630.1, read as the reverse complement.
TATATTTAAGTAATTTTAGATATTTATTTTTATTTTTGTGTTTAATTTTATTAAATTAAGGTTATTAAAAATAAGTTTCTTGGATTCATTGAAAATCAAAACCATTTTTGCATGTTGCTCAACAAGTTGCTCTAATATTGGATGTTTGCAGATAATATTCAAACTGGAGAAATTTTCGATTGTTAAAGGCAGTTGGGATTGGAAGAGATAAGAAAACAAATTCCCAAGTGCCTCCTATGATAGGAGGCACTGGGTCTGATGCTTTCATTACTATTATCTTGTTTCATCTTACAACGGGGAAGGAAGATTCAAATGCGCAGTCTTGCTTCAGAGTCAGTACTCTTAACCAATATGTTGTAATACATTCAGCTAGTCTGTGATAGGCAGCATCTAAGATGGTCCCTAGTGATCCCCACCTCCTGATATTCATACCCTTGTGTATTATCTTCCCCTTATAGGCTGGACCTAGTGACTCACTTTGAATGCATAGAATATGGAAAATTGATGAGATGTCACTTCTAAGATTTGGTTACAAAGAGACTGTGGCTTTTATCTTGGGTGCTTGCCCTCTCTACCTTTCTCTCAGAGCCCCTACACTGTTAAGTAGCCTTGTGGGAAGGCCCAAGAGCCAGTGATGTCTAGGCCTAACAGCTAGTGACCTGCCAGCAGCCAGGTGAGTGAGTTTGGTGGTGGATCCTTGATAGTCAAGCTTTAATGATTGCAGCCCCAGCCAACACCTTGACTGCAGCCTTGTGAGAGTCCCTGAACCAGAAGCACTTAGCTTACCCAGCTGGATTTCTGATCCACATAAACTGAGATAATAAATGCTGTTTTAAGCTACTGTGATTGAAAATGAATTGTTACATAGAAATAGATAACTAGGCCGGGTGTGGTGGCTCACATCTGTAATCCCAGCACATTGTGAGGCCGAGGCAGGCGGATCGCTTGAGCCCAGGAGTTTGAGACCAGCCTGGGCAACATAGCAAAACCCCATCTCTACTAAAAATACAAAAATTAGCTGGGCAAGGTGGTGCGTGCCTGTAGTCCAGCTACTTGGGAGGCTGAGGTGGGAGGATCACCTGAGCCTGGGAGGTGTAAGCTGCAATGAGCTGAGAGCAAGAACTTGAGCAAGAGAGCGAGACCCTGTATCACAAAAAAAAAAAAAAAAAAAAAAAAAGAGATAACTACAGATTTTGGTACCAATAGTGGGGTGCTTTTTGGTGAAAATCTAAACTGGGAGTGACTTTGAAACTGGGCAGTGGACTTTTAAGGAGAGTGTTAGTATAAGATTAGAATACCTTGAACACATTATAAAAATGGGACTTTGAGGCGATTGTCACGAGGTCTTAAAGGAAAGAAACTGGAAGAAAGGGGATCCTTGTTATGTAGTGGTAGAAAGTTTAGCAACACTATCATTTATAGTTGTGGAAAGCAGAAAGTGTGTTTCATGAACTGAGAGATCTAGCTAAGTAAACTTCTAAACAAAACATTGCAGATCCCCTCTGGTTCCTTCTTGCTGCTTAAAGTATGAGGGGAAATAAATAAATTGAGGGAAGCACTGTTAAAAAAGGAGCCAGAACTTGATGATTTTGAAAATTCTCAGCCTTTCTGGTTGGCAGAGGGTGATGAAATTGAGACACGGCAAAGATCAATTCAAGAGCCACTCCGGGGAGAATGGCGGTCTAAAGATAAAGCCAAGACTGTGCCTTTAAAGCCTGCTGTTAAGACCTGAGAAGGTAGTGCCTTAGCATCCTCTTCAGTCACACTCAAGGCCTCTCCGTCAAACAATAGGGCTTCTAGCCTTTTTAGCAGGAGCCCAAGGTAGAGGTAGAAGAGTTCCTCTTGGAGAGATCTATGGGTATAGCTTTTGTCTATTGTGGTGAGATATGCAGGAAATCCACTGTAGCTAGGACTGAACAGGAAAAGAAACAGTACAAAATGAAAAGAGGCTGTCGGACACCCCTAGCATTCTGCTGGCAGGAAGCAGGCTGAGAAAGTGCTCAGGAGCTAACACATGCCACCTTTCATCAAAAGGGAAAGATGACTCAGAGGTTGGAAGCAGGAGCCTAGAGATGAAGGCAAAAGTCATGGAGAATTCTTTTCCCAGTGTTGAGACCTAATCAAGGAACTTTCAGTGTTTGCCCTGCTAGATTTCAGAGTCAGTATGGATCAGTGACTCTTTTGTGCCCCCCAATTTCCTGCCTTTCTTTTGTAGAAAAAGTTATGCCATTTAGTGATTGCAAGGATTTTAGAGAACAGAAACCCAGAGGGCAAGTGAGAAAGCAGCCCTAATACTCTGCCATCTAGGCTCCCAGAATGCCATGCTGTTGTTAAATTGCTTCTTTTGGCTTTTGCTTACAAGTCATAAGTACCAGATGATATGTGCAAAACTGAAGCAATCAGGAGAGGATTTCCCACCCCCGTATTTACCCACTTTCTCTCATCAGTATGAATAAACTGTCCCCTCACTCATGAAGCATTTGCATTCCTATATAAGGTGAACCTTCCAGTTGTATACTAGGTCCTATCTCTGCTAGTCTGTTTAGGACATGGATCCAGCAATTCTCTTCCCTCTCTCTGGGATCATCAAGTTTTCTGTCTTTATTGGATTAGTCCCGTCAGCATACAGTTAAGCTGTTCTTCCACTTATTTAAAAATAATACTCTTGACCTCACTTTGCCAGCAACTGCTGAATTTCTTTTCCTTTAAAGCAAAACTCAGTAGCGTTGTTTATATTTGATTATATCTGATTATATCAGTTCTCCTCTTAAACCCACGCAGCCAGGTTTTTATTGCAACCACACCACTGAAAGGGCTCTAGTCCAAGTTGCCAGTAACTTGCATGCTGCTAAATCTAGTGGTCTGGTCTCAGCCCTCATCTTACTTGACCTATCTGTAGAATATTCTATCACTGATCACTTCGTTCTCTAATTCACTTTCTTGGATACTTGACTTGCAGGACATCATACTTTCCTGATTTTCTTCCCACCTCTTTGGAAGTTTGTACTCAGTTTTAAAGTTGTAATATTTTGAGCCAAGTCCTTTCACCTCTTTTTTTGATTCTCTTTCATCCACTCTCATGGCTTTAGTTCTCAGCTAACCAGGAAAGTTTTACCAGCCGGGTAAAATGTTTTTTTCCTTTAACATATATTAAGTTTTCTTTTCTTTTCATTTCTTTTTTTTTTCTTTTTTCTTTTCTTTCTTTTCTTTTTTTCTTTTGAGACAGGGTCTCACTCTGTTGTCCAGGCTGGAGTGCAGTGGCGTGATCTTGGCTCACTGCAACCTCTGCCTCCCGGGTTCAAGCATTTCTCCTGCCTCAGCCTCCCAAGTAGCTGGGACTACAGGTCCATGCCACTACACCCGGCTAATTTTTATATTTTTATTAGAGACAGGGTTTCACCATATTGGCCAGGCAGGTCTCGAACTCCTGACCTCATGATCCACCCGCCTCGGCCTCCCAAAGTGCTGGGATTATAGGTGTGAGCCACTGTGCCCGGCCCTAAGTTTTCTTATAATTAAGAAATAAGAATAAAGGGATAGTGAAAAAACAACTGCATTAGACATTAAAAAAAAATTTCTTCCTTTTTTTTTTTTTGGAGACAGAGTCTCATTCTGTTGCCCAGGCTGGAGTGCAGTGGTGCGATCACAGCTCAGTGCAGTCTCAATCTCCTGGATTCAAGCTATCCTCCTTCCTTAGCCCCTCGAGTAGCTGGGTGGGACTACAGATGTGTGCCACCATTTTTGTATTTTTATTTATTTTTTTGTAGAGACAAGTCTGTGGCTGTGTTGCCACAGGCTGGTCTTGAATGCATGATCTCAAGTGATCTTCCCACCTCAGCCTCCCAAAGTGCTGAGATTATAGGCGTGAGCCACCATGCCTGACCAAAGGTTCTTCCCCCTCCTCCCTGCCACCCGAGACGGAGTCTCACTCTGTTGCCAAGCTGGAGTGCAGTGGCGCGATCGTCGGCTCACTGCAAGCTCCGCCTCCCAGGTTCACGCCATTCTCCTGCCTCAGCCTCCAGAGTGGCTGGACTACAGGCGCCCGCCACCACGCCCAGCTAATATTTTTGTATTTTTAGTAGAGACGGGGTTTCACCATGTTAGCCAGGATGGTCTCCATCTCCTGACCTCGTGATCCGCCCACCTCAGCCTCCCAAAGTGCTGGGATTACAGGCGTGAGCCACCATGCCCAGCTGTCAAAGTTTCATGCAACTAATTAGATATTACCCCTACAGTAACCATCAATCACATTTGAATGCTGTCTATATCTTTTAATCCCTTTTATAATACCTCATGGTTTTTGTCCTTTTTGCCTATCCCTCCTTTCTTCCTTCCCTCCCTCCCTCCCTTCCTTCCATGGCTGGGAATAGTTAAAAAGTAAAAGTTGCTGAAAAGTCAGAATGTTTCAAGATGTAGGAAAAATAAAGATCTTCTAAAATTTCACAGTGAATCTTAGGTTTATAAAAGGGTCCAAGGAATACATGTATTATTACAAGATAAAATAGTTTATTTTTAAAGTAACAATTTCGTTTTTCTGTTTTCTTTTTGGAATACCTCTAAGAAAGAAAAATCATAAAGTATAAATTCTTACAGGTAGAACTGAACTGCTTGAAAAGAAAAGTTGGGCCCAGTGGACTCTGATGATACACTGGGTGTTAAATTCTGTCTGTATGTTCTTGGCTCTCAAATGTATACCTCTAGCTAGAACTCTCTCTAGAAGCTCATATCTAACTGCCTACTTGACATTTCCATCTGTAATATAATAGTTACCTCAAACTTGACATGTCCAAAGCTGAGCTCCTGGCCTTTACTTGCCTTCCTCTGCCCTCAGACTTGCTAAACCCACAGTTTTCTTCTTCTCAGATAATGACATCTTTCTGTTACTTGAGCTAAAAAAAACCTTAGTCATCCTGGACTCCTCTTTCTCCCTCACTGCGGTCCTGTTAATTAGCAAATCCTTTAGGTTCTGCCTTTCAAAAATAACCTAAATTCAATCCATACTAGCTCTTCTTCCTTTTTTTTTTTTCCTCAGTCTCGCTCTGTCGCCCAGGCTGCAGTGCCGTGGCATGATCTGGCTCACTGCAACCTCCGCCTCTCAGGTTCAAGCGATTCTTGTGAGTCGGCTACCTGAGTAGCTGGGATTACAGGTATGCGCCACCATGCCTAGCTAATTTTTGTATTTTTAGTAGAGACAGGGTTTCGCCATGTTGGCCATGCTGGTCTCGAATTCCTGGCCTCAAGTGATCCACCGACCTTGGCCTCTCAAAGTGCTGGGATTATAGGCGTGAGCTGCCGTGCCCATCCTACTAGCTCTGCCACTTCTATCCTGGTTCGGTATTCCATCTTCTCTTGCCCAGGTTTTTGTAATAGTCTGCTACCTGGTCTCGCTATCTCCACTATTGACACTGAAGAATTTATTCTAATCACAACATCTGACATAATCCTTTGAAAATATAAATCTGATCATGCACAAAATCCACTGATGTGTTTCGCTCAGAAGAAAAGCTAGAGTCCCCACAAGGCTCCAGTCAAGCCTGCTCCTAGGTACTTGTTTGACTTTCATCTCCTCCTGTTCTCATTTCTCACAGCTACTTAGGCCTTTTGGCCATTCCTCAAATTTGCCAGGCACTTTGTACAGCTGTTCCATGGTATTCATGAGGGGGTTGGTTCCAGAGCCTCTTAAAGATACCCAAATCCGCAGATGCTCAAGTCCCTGATATAAAATAGTGTGGCATTTGCATATAACCTACACATATTCTTCTGTATACTTTAAATAATCTCTGGAGTGTTTATAGTACCTAATGAAGTGTAAATTTTATGTAAATAGCTGTTATATTGTTTCTGGAACACGATTTACGGTGACAAGGAAAAAAAGACTGTACATATCCAGTACGAATTATTTCTCCTGCCCCAAATATTTCCCATTCATGGTTGGTTGAATCCAGGGATGCAGAACCCACAAATATGGAGGGCTTACTGTACTTGTTTCTTCTGCCTGTAATGCTTCTCTCCAGATATACTCATGTCTTCCTCCTGGCCTTCAAATTTTTGCTCAAATGTTTCCTATTCAATAAGGCCTTTTGAAAGCCATTTTACTTTAAATTTTTCATAGCATTTATCTTCTAAATATTATAAAAACAGGCCATACGGCCAGGCACAGTGGCTCATGCCTGTAATCCCAGCACTTTGGGAGGCCAAGGCGGGTGGATCACGAGGTCAGGAGATTGAGACCATCCTGGCTAACATGGTGAAACCCCATCTCTACTAAAAATACAAAAAATTAGCCGGGTGTGGTGGCGGGCGCCTGTAGTCCCAGCCACTCTGGAGGCTGAGGCAGGAGAATGATGTGAACCTGGGAGGCGGAGCTTGCAGTGAGCTGAGATCGTGCCTCTGCACTCCAGCCTGGGTGACAATATAAATAAAAAATAAAAAAACAGGCCATGCATGGTGGTTTATCCCTATAATCCCAAGACTTTGGGAGGCCAAGGTGGGAGGAACTCCTTGAGGCCAGGAGTTCAAGACCAGCATGGGCAACATAGTGGTACCCTATCTCTACAAAAGCAAGTTTAAAAATTAGCCAGGGTTGGTGGGACACACCTGTAGTCCTAGCTGCTTGGGAGATGGCATGCACCTGTAGTCCTGGCTACTTGGAGGTTGAGACAAGAGGATTGCTTGAGCCCAGGAGGTCAAAGCTGCAGTGAGCTCTAATTGTGCAGACTGCACTCCATCCTGGGTGACAGAGCGAGACCCTGTATCTTTATTTTATTTTATTATTTATTTAGATGGAGTTTCACTCTTGTCACCCAGGCTGGAGTGCAATGACATGATCTCGGCTCACTGCAGCTATCGCCTCCTGGGTTCAAGTGATTCTCCAGCCTCAGCCTCCTGAGTAGCTGGGTTTAAAGGTCCATACCACCATGCTCGGCTAATTTTTTGTATTTTTAGTAGAGACAGGGTTTCACCGTGTTCGCCAGGCTGGTCTTGAACTCTTGACCTTAGGGGATCCACCAACCTCGGCCTCCCACAGTGCTGGGATTAGAGGAGTGAGCCACTGCGCCTGGCTTGAGACCCTGTATCTTTAAAAACAAAACAAACTCCGTGTGTGTGTGTGTGTGTGTGTGTGTGTGTGTGTGTGTGTAGTAGTAGTAGTAGTAGTATGTATATGTATGTAAAATAAAAACTTTTTTTCCCACCTGTCTCCTCTTTTAGAGTTTTTTGTCTGGTGTATTCGCTGCTATTATCTTCAGTGTCTAGAATAATGAATGGTGTTCAATAAATATTTGTCAAATTCTAGAGGTTTTTTTACCTGTGATTTTTTTCAGTAACGGAATACTTAGTAACTATAGAATTTATAGTGGTAGAACTCTAGCTGACATCAGCTATTCTCTCTCACATCGCAGGGACCAGTGCTTTGTACTATTGAGGCAGTAGTGCTTTAATGGCACAAGCTTTGGAACCAAATTAACTGGGTCCAAATCTGGTTCTGATGCATTCTGTCTGAATGACATTGGATAAGTTACCATGCTTTCTCATCTGTAAAATGAGAATAACATAATATCTATCACAGAGGGTTGTTTTGAGCCATGTAACGCTCTCAGAACAGTTCTTGGTGCATAGTAAATGTTCAGTATATGTTAGTTATGATTGTTACCGTTTCAGACCCATCCCAGCAGTTCTGAGTCTGTTGTACTCCTGAGTGGCAATACTGAGAACTGATTCAGGGTCTCCTCCTTATCACCAAGTCTCTTTCTCCTTTAAAAATATCATGGGTATGTTAGGTCTGCCTTTCTACCCTTCACCTCCAGTTCTCTCTTCTACTGTTTAATCTTTACTTACACTAATAGCATTCTTTTATATATCCACATTTTCCCCTCTTTTTTTTCTCTTCCTTTCTCCCTTCCTGTCCTTTTAGCAAGTACTTATTAAGCATTACTTTTTGCTTCCCTATTCTGTTCTAAATCTTGCTGTTTCTTTTTCCTTATCTTCATGTCTTTGTTTCATTATCAAATAAAAAATTACCTAATTTATGGTTGATTGACTAGAATTACATTTGTATCAGGGAAAATGGGAATGCAGTAGGTGTTGAAATAAAATTGAAATTATTTTTTAAAAAGTTGCACCAGTGACTAAAACCCTTGAAAGTACTCCTACTCCTTCCTCTAAATCTACAGAAGTCTCTACTTTCTTAGTCAGTGATTAAATTTGTCTTCTACCAACCAACGTGCAAGGTGATCTGGGGGAAAAGTATCTCTTATTTAATTACATTGGCATTATTTGTAATTTTCTGCTATTTTAGCTATCTTGTTTTTTGTTTATTTTTATTTCAGATGGATAGTAGTTCAGGTACATTACTGGTACAGTGTGCTCAAACGTTTTCCCCATGATTACTAGGTTCTTGTGATATCTGGTCTAGAAACACAGCCATCATTTATAAATCTGTGTGTGTGTGTGTGTGTGTGTGTGTGTGTGTGTGTGTTTCTTTTAATGGGAGAATGTGATCAGAGTTCTAAAAAACTGAAATAAAAATGCATTTTTAGAATATGACTTATTTTGTAAATTTTAGATAGATTATAGAATGACTACAATACCCTTTTTCAGAGCAGAGGAAGTGAACCCATTTAGGCATCCGTTTAAAGGAGTTTTGTTTTGAGGCTTTAAGGGTCTTTCATCTGTAAGATGAGCTGTGGTACTGCCTATTATATATTAATAAACGTTACAAGGAAAACAGTACTCTTTTTGCTCCCTTTTCTCGGTATAGTCTTTTTTTCCGAGCACATTTCAGAAATAAAGACCACTAAAATGCTACTTAATGTAATCTCAGTTACTTGGGAGGCTGAGGCAGGAGAATACCTTGATCCTGGGAGGTGGAGGTTGCAGAGAGCCGAGATCGTGCTACTGCACTCTAGCCTGGGTGACAGAGCAAGACTCCATCTCAAAAAAAATAAAAAAATTTTAAAAATGCTACTTAAAAGTACCCCCCACCATATTTATAAGTTCTGGGTTCACATTTCTTTTTCTAGTACATATTTAGCCCGTTCATTCATCAGTTATTAAGGCCATGCTATTTGCCAGCAATTTGGGTAATGAACAGCACTATAAGACACAATTAAAAGTATCAGATTTCTACCTTTGTTTATCGGTGATTTGCATTTTTTCAGTAACTCTCATTTTCCTTTGAATTCTTAAGATTTACCTCTTTGACTTAAGAAGTAAACTAAATTTTAACTACAGCTTTCAAAATTTGTATTAGAATTGGACAATAAAGCTTTATTTATTTATTTATTTTTTTACTATTTCACAAAACAAAATGTAGCTTTCTTAAAATTTGTTAGTTAAAATGTTTTCTTTGTTTTCCCAATAAAATGTAAAGTTTAATATGTGATGGCTAAACTCCTAGGGGGATAAGGAGGCGCTAGGAGAATAGGCAGGTTGGAAAAGGGTAGTCGGGACTTGTCCAGATTCTTGTGTGGTAGTCTGGGTAGTCTGTATATTTACCATATGGGCTACAAGACACACACACACACACACACACACACACACACACACACACACACACACACACACACACACCCTTGTGAGCATTTATTAATTCGCAGTTGATGGTGCATAGTTTGGGGAGTGGGTAAAGGATATGTTACTTTTGTAAGTACAGAATCGATTCTGACCGCTCATTCATTGAATGAAAGTTTGAGTTTCTACTACCTGTAGGTACCTTTAGGGAAGCTTTAGAAATGTAACCTGGAATTTTGCATAAACTAAACCTAGCCAGAGGCTCAGTGGCCCCCCTTTTCATTCTCTAATAGAAAAGTAAAGAGGGAGTGAGTGAGTACAAATCACCATTAAACAAAAGTAATATATTTTAGGTTTAACTATTTAATAAACCTAAAATATAAATATTACCTCACTCCCTCTTTCCTTTACTTTTCTGTTTCTTTTCCTTTTGAATGCCGGAAGACTTTAATGCTCATTATCTTAGTCTGCTAGGGCTGCTATCACAAATTACCACAGTCTGAGTGGCTTAACCAACAGCAAATTGATCTTGGAAGTCCAAGACCAAGGAGCCAGCAAGGCAGATTTCATTCTGAAGCCTCCTCTTGTGGCTTGTAGGTGACTGCCATCTAGTCTTGTGCTCACACAACCTCTTCTTTGTGCATAGGGACAGGAGTGGGGAGGGGAGCAAGCTCTCTGGTGTCTCTTTTAAGGACAATGATCCTATTGGAGCAGTGCCACTCCCCTATCACCCCCACCTTACTTAACATTAATTATTTCCTTAGAAGCTCCATCTCCTAATACAGGTACAGGGGTGGGCAGGGTGCAAAGAGGTGAGTTAGGGCCTCAACATAGGAACTTGGAGTTGGGGGGACACAAACACTTGGTCCATAACACTTGTCTTTTTAATTCATAAAATAATTTGAGTATTTACTGTGTGTTAATCACCTTGGTAGACTTGCTACTATGTAGCTGTGCAAACTCAAGGAAATTACTTAACCTCATTAGGCCACAGTTCATTTATCAGTAAAACAGAGATGTTGAACCCATTAATAGCTATGATGCATTCCAGCTTAATCACTATTACTTCCATGTTCATTTCATTCCCTTATTTTCCTCTCTCCCTAAGATTTTCTTCCCTCCCTAAGATATTTAAGATTGTTATGTCAAATTTCCTTTCTGTTTTTGACCATCCTTCTTTTTCTTTCATTCTGTTCCTTTATGTTTTTTATGTCTTAGGTTGTTTTCTGCCTCCATCCACCCCTTTCCTGAATTGGACATGTTTTTGACAACTTGTAAGTTTACTAGATTTATTAGCTCTTTAAAAGTTTAGGAGGTAGACGGAATTTTTTTTTTCCGCTCAACATACTGAAAGCCTTTAAATTAAACTTACTCTAGGTAAATTGCTTTGTACCTTTTACATTGCCTTGTACATGCCTTACCTTTGTTGCGTGTTTGATTTCTTTTCCTGTAGTCTACTGCCTTTCGCTAGGCAGGTTTCCTCACAGCATTATTTCTTAGAATTGTGAGGAGACTAGTGATACTGCTTTTCATGTATGCCTTTACTAAAGCATCTAATTCATCATATGGGCAGTTAATAAGTATGAATTGATGAGATGACAGTCGTGTATTTTTTACTCTTCAGGGAAAGAAAGACCTTGTGCTATCCCTTCCAATTTCTCCCTTTTGATCTGTGACATTTGGAAGTAGTTATGGCCGGGCGCCATGGCTCACTCTTGTAATCCCAGCACTCTGGGAGGTGGGTGGAGCACTTGAGGCCAGGAGTTCGAGACCAACCTGGGTAATATGGAGAAACCTTGCTTCTACTAAAAATAACAAAAAAAATTAGCTGGGCGTGGTGACACCTGTCCGTAATCCCAGCTACATGAGAGACTGAGGCATGATAACCATTTCAACCAGGGAGGCAGAAGTTGCGGTGAGCCAAGATCCTGCCACTGTACTCCAACCTAGGCAACAAAGTGAGACTTTTATCTAGTTGTTCTGCAGTCTCAGTGGCAGTGGCTTTTCTCCTTTTGTGAATATCAACAACAAACTACAGAGTTGACTCACAGGATGTAAAAAATTGGGGTGACATGCATGGGAGACTGTGTTGATACTAATATTTGCATGACTGATTGAGAAAGTTTGTCAGAAACATTGTCACTAGTACTATTGTAGGAACTACGCTATGAGTGGGGTGAAGTCTTGCCCTAGCATTAGTATAAATCCTTAGCCTGCTGGGCATAGTCTTAAGAAACAACCCATTCAGGGTCGGGTGTGGTGGCCTGTAATCTCAGCACTTTGGGAGGTGGGTGGATTGCTTGAAGTCAGGAGCTCGAGACCAGCCTGGCCAACATGACGAGACCCCGTTTCTACAAAAAATGCAAAAATCAGCTGGGCGTGGTGGTACACACCTGTAATCCCAGATACATGGGAGGCCAAGGCATGAGAATTGCTTGAACTGGGGAGGCGAAGGTTGCAGTGAGCCGAGATCATGCCACTGCACTAGGTGACAGCAAGACTGTGTCTCAAAAAAAAGAAAAAAGAAACAACCAATTCAGTAACAAATTTTGCAGTTTAAAGCTGTTTCTTTTAGAATTAAAACTCTCTAATCTCTGCAGTGTGGTAATGGGTATTGAGATAATGGTGGTGATAATTATAAAGTTGCTGATTATCAGCTACTGATTTTTGAATGCCGACTATTTGCCAGGCTTAATACTGCTACGGGAGGGGGTCAGGGAAGTGCTGGATAGAGAAAGGTGACCCCTGGCTAGGGCTCCACTCCTATGGACCTAGGTGAGTAGAGGCACTCCAGCTTTCATGCCCAAGTGTTGCATTTTTCAAGACCATCCTGGCCTGCCATGCCCCCCATCCTGGGCCTATAAAAACCCGAGACCCTAGCGGGCAGACATACAGGCAGCCAGATGTCAAGAGACGAACACCAGCTGAAGAAGATACAAGCAGCTGGATGGTGGGAGGACGTCAAGGGAGCAAGCCGGCAGAAGAGCACACCGACAGACGTCAGCACCCTGGCAGGCCATTGACGGGTGGGACAAGGCGGAGTTTGGCTGGGGCAGTCGGAGGAGAGCCGAGGCCACTGAGCAGCCGAACTCTAGGGCTAAACCATCTCCCTTCTGGCTCCCACATTGGTGGAAAAATCCTTCCACTCAATAAAACTTTGCACTCATTGTCCAAGTCCACGTATGATCCAATTCTTCTGGTACACCAAAGCAAGAACCCGGGATACAGAAAGCCCTCTGTCCTTGCAACAAGGTAGAGGGTCTGATTGAGCTGATTAACACAAGTCGCCTATAGACGGCAAACTAAAAGAGCACCCTATAACACATGCCCACTGGGGCTTCAGGAGCTGTAAACTCTCACCCCTAGACACTGTCATGGGGTCGGAGCCCCACAGCCTGCCCGTCTATATACTCCCCTAGAGGTTTGAGCAACGGGGCACTGAAGAAGCAAGGGGGAACAAGAGAACCTTTCCTGTTTCAATACCAAGCATTTTACAGTCATTAACATGTCGAATTCTAAGAGCAACCCCAGTAATGGACAGGCCATTCTAGCTATGTAAACTCTTCAAAGGCAGCACTTGGTACAGTGCTGGGCACTTACTTGTCAGGATTTGGTAGATGCTGAACTGATTTGAACTCTAGCATCATCTTGCTTAAAATTGTCATTCTTTGCCTACCCTTGCCCTGCCCAGCTATGGATACAGAGGTTTTACAAATTTGAATCTCTGTGCTCTAAATTAGAGAGTTTAATCTGACCTTATGTTAAGGAGCTTGCCTCGCCAGTAGTCAGCTGGTTTTTCAAATAATTCGATACCTCATTACCCATGTACCAGGGGTTAAACATTACCCTTATTAAATTGGCTAGTCTACTCACCTGGTCTTCTTGCCTTGGTGCATGGTGGCACTCTAGTTTCTCTTGGAACCTGAGCCAACTCTGAACCCTCAGCCATTTTTTGTCAGTGCCTCTTTTGAGCTTACTGGATCCCAATTCCTTTTTTGCTTTGAGTTTGATGGTATTCCTTTCCATGTGGCTAGGAAAAGTGAGACCATGCCTTGTCATCTTACACCAAAGCCCTTGAATAAGAACAGCTCAGATTAAGCTAGTCTGATATATTCTTAAGACCTGACCATTTGGATCTTGACCTCCATCTGCAGCACATAATAAGTCTTTTCCCAGTTTCTACCTTGAACAGCCTTTATTTTAGTTTCATAATTTCTGTACCCAGGACTTCACCATTTCCCTGTATTTCCATTGTTGCATATTGAGGTTATGCAGTCTGAAGCTCCTCTGAACTGTTTTTCAGAATGCCTTTCCTTCTGCTTCGGACCATCAGAGCTTCCTAGTTTCCTCTATTCCCTTCTCTCACCTTCACATTTCTTTTGTTCCCCTTTCCTCCAACCATAGAGTACACATTACTTGGGAAAACCCGATTATATAATATTTTAGAGCATAGGTCTTGGAAACATGTTTATGCACTGTCAAAGTTGCGTTTCCATTCATCTGTCTCTCCCCAGGTAATTAGCATAAATGAAAATAGTGACCTTTTAGAATATCTTTCAAGGGTGGTAGCCAACATACCAACCCAGGATACTGCTGAGTAGGAGCCAGCTGGCATGAAGAAGCAAGGACAAGAGTAAACCTTTTAAGTGGGCAGTTTCAAAAGTATAGAACTAAATGGAAGCAAGAAAAATGAGGGGAGTGTGGATATGGTGCTAATTCTAATGTGGCAAAGATTTTAAAATAATACAGAGGCAATCCAGAATACATTGAGAGCCCCAGTGAATTGTTTTCTTTAAATTTCATGTCATGTGTAGTCATGTTTCTCAATGGACAAATGGTTAGTGGACCAAATGACATTTTTTACTCATCCCTGAGTAAAAAGTCCAACGAATATAGTTCATTAGACTGCTGCTTGTTGTCTCCAAACAGATCCTGAAAGTTCAAATGACTGGGAGTCAGAACCTAAAAATATAATATACCCCACTGTTTTGGCAGGAAATTGAGACCTGCTTTTATCAGCCACTTATCCAGAAAGCATATGTTCTATATAAATCAAGCCAAATCTATATTGTCTGCAAGTATTCCTGCAATATAGTTGATGTTCATAATGTGATCCAGATATTTTCAGTATACTTCTGTGTATTTTGATTATCACATGACTTTTTATTTATTTGTTTGTTTGTTTATTTATGTTTTGAGATGGAGTCTAGCTCTGTCACCCAGGCTGGAGTGCAGTGGTGCAATCTCGGCTCACTGCAGCCTCCACCTCCTGGGTTCAAGCAATTCACCTGCCTCAGCCTCCTCAGCTAATTTTTGTATTTTTAGTAGAGATGGGATTTCACTCTGTTGGCCAGGCTGGTCTCAAACTCCTGACCTCATGATCTGCCTGCCTCAGCCTCCCAAAGTGCTGGGATGGCAAGCATGAGCCACCGTGCCCAACCATGACTGTTTTTAAATAGAAACTCCTGGGCCTCCTGCGTTCCAATTTTATTGTTTCTCTAATGACACAGCAGTGACTGCAAACCCCTTTTCTGTTATACTTTTTCTTTTGCATATAGACTACTATTTTGAACCTTTTGAAAGGGCCTTGCCACAAAAGTCCATATTTACATTCTGTATGTTTAGAGCCATGATCTCAATCAGAAATGAGAGGGAGGTATAAATCAGAATTCAGTGTTAGAGTAAGAGACTGTATAGTTCAAAAAAATTTAAACCTCTAACTCATAATAAACATTTCAGAAAGTAGGTTGTACGTGCTATTCTGGGTTGATGAAAGTTTCAGAAGATAAAAGTAAATATGATAAAGGTTTTTAAAATGGTTAAAAACACAGGTTTAGAGTCTCTCATTTTCTCACAGTGACTAAAAGAATTTCCACTTTGGTAAGTCTGCAGTAGAAGTATGTCATTAGAGCTTCTTCAGACTAAAAGATGAGGGATGACTTGAGAAAAATTTGGACATGACCATAAGGGGCAATATATTCTTGACCCAAGATTTTCTCCTGAGGACTTGAACCAGATTAGCTTAAACAACTGTTTAAAGAAAAAACAACATCAAAAGGCTCACGCCTAGAATCCCAGCACTTTCAGAAGCTGAAGTGGGAAGATGGCTTGAGGCCAGGAGTTCCAGACAAGCTTGGACAACATATTGAGACCCTGTCTACATTTTTTTTTTTTTTTTTTTTTTTTTTTTTTTTTTTTGGTCAGCCGTTGGCTGGGTGTGGTGGCTCATGCCTGTAATCCCAGCATTTTGGGAGGCTGAGGCAGGTAAATCACTTGAGGTCAGGAGTTCCAGACCAGCCTGGACTGGACAAGTGAAACCCTGTCTTTACTAAAAATACAAAAATTAGCCAGGCGTGGCGGTGGGTGCCTGTAATCCCAGCTACTAGGGAGGCTGAGGCAGAGAATCGCTTGAACCCAGGAAGCAGGTTGCAGTGAGCCGAGATCGCACCACAACAAACAACAAAACCCCACAGAAGTCTTTCTTAGTGGACTAGCCCCTTTAGTAAGACAGTTGGAATGTGTTGGAGCTGGAATGTTTTCTTGTCAGTTGGTTCCTGACTTGAAAGAATCACAGTGGGGTGGGGTAGCCTAGGAATTGGATCTCTGGCCTAGCCCTTAGTAGAAAAAGGGATTGAGGTTTCTGTGAAAGCAGTTGAGGGTTAGAAATAAAGGTAAAGCCCTTTAACCAAAGGAAAACATTCAAAAGAGGTAGCATTAGGAAGTAGACTTGGGGGGAAATACCTAAACTAGAAGTAATGATTGTTTGCCAAGGAAAGATAGGTGTGTTTAAATGGAACAATACCTTAAAGAAGGAATTGTCTCATGACCTTGTTAATTTCTGGCCTGTTGTTTCTTAATCTTTATTTTGAGTCTCGAACATCTTTGAGAATTTAATGAAATCTCTGGACTAGGTCCCCAGAACAGTGTACGTATTTACAACATTTTGCAACACAGTTTTCAGGAGATCATGGGCCTTGTGAAGCTCAACCATATTAAGAATACATTAACTAGTGCCCATACTTAGTGGAAACTTGGCACGTGCCACCACACCTGGCTAGTTTTTAATTTTTTTTTTTTTAAAATAGAGACAGGGCCTGACTATGTTGTCCAGGCTGGTCTTGAACTCCTGGGCTGAAGCAGTCCTCCCACCTTGGCCTCCCAGATTGGTAGGATTACAGGTGTCAGCCACCACGCCTGCCTATTATCTTATTTTAAAAAGATTATTCCAAAAGTATCTGTGATAGATCCTTTCTCACTTTTGCTGTTTAAAATGGGAAGTAACAAGCACTATGGTGTTAACCTACACTTTCTATGAAGGTTCTACATATTAGTATTGGTCCTTATTTGATTCAAGCCAAAATTTCTATCCTAATTTTTCTTAAGTTCCAATAGTTTATATAGGTAATATAAAAACTGGTTTTTATATTTGTTTATTTATTTTTGAGACAGCATGTCATTCCTGTCACCCAGGTCCCATTGCTCAGGCTGGAGTGCAGTGGTGCCATTGTGGCTCACTACAGCCTCAACTTTCTGGGCTCAGGTTTTTCTCTGCCTCAGTCGCCTGAGTAGCTGGGACTACAGGCTCACACCACCACACCCAGCTAATTTTTTGTATTTTTAGTAGAGTTAGGGTTTTGCCATGTTGCCCAGGCTGGTCTCGAACTCCTAGGCTCAAGGGATCCTCCCACCTCAGCCTCCCAAAGTGCTGAGATTACAAGTGTGAGCCACTGTGCCTGGCAGAACTGGTTTTTAAAAAGTGGTGTGATATGCTGTGTTGGATATTACGTTGGCAATTAATCATATCTAAAAGTGTTTATGTCTTTTGTTTGATAGTCATATTTTGTTTTTGGCTAAGAGGATTCAAGGGAACTTCCTCTGGAGGTAAAAAAGAAAAAATTTAAAAAAATTTTAAATTGTAGAACTGATGGTCAAATGGAAGATGGGAGCCCTTAATTTTTTCTTCATAAAATAGTTTTCAAAGAATGCTAATTTTAAAAAGCTAATCAAACTTACTTACAGAGGGCCCATCTCTTTAAGTTCTGGTAACCCTTACCAAAGCAACAATATTTAGTTAGTATATTTAAGAAACATGAATAACAAATTAAAAAGGCTATTACAAGGTGGTTTCTGCATACTGATTTTGTCCTATGGTGTGAGCAATTGTGTGTCTAGTAAACGCAAAGAATACATTGTAAAGCCCATACAATGATTTGGTAACTCCAAAGGAAGAAATACATGATATAATCATTACAAACATTAGGTGTCATCACTTTATGGCATTCTGGGTGACATCAAAATATAAAACTGCTGGCAGATGTACTCATATTATTCTGGATTTCAGTGCCAAGTAGATTTTGTTTTCATTAAACTTTGTTTTGAGATAATTGTAGATTCATGCAAATGTTTCAAGTGTGGTATTTGATGGAATTTTGACATAGGCAAACTACTTGTGACACAATCACAGGAAAGGTAGTGAATATATCTGTTAACCTTAAAAGGTTCTTTTCTTTATCATTTTGCCACATTTGCTGTACTATTCTCTTTTTTTCTGAACCATTTGAAAGTACGTTTTAAGTGTGTGTGTGTGTGCATGTGTGTGCATATAAAATCCCTTCAGTCTTAGATAATTTCATATTTATTTTCTAAGAATAAAGGCGTTTTCTTACATAACCACAATGCAGTTATGAAATCAAGACATTGAACGTAGATACTGTTACACATTCTGTAGGGCTCCAAGGGCTCTCTAATTCTGTGATATTTCTTGGATGGGGATGTTGAGACTCCTGGTTAGAGCCTGGCCAGGGTAGAAGTGAAGGCTCCTCACTTGGCCTTTCCTGGCGTGAGTGGGAGTGAAGTGGTATTTGGCTGGATTAAGGCAGCCTGCATGTTTTCTGTCTTGCTAGGCCACCCCTTTTCTTGTTCTTTGGCTGAGAGGAGCCTTTCACTGGGGGCTTTTTTTTGTCAGTGCCTGTTGGTGTTTCTGGGTCCTTTAGTTGCAAGTCTGGGCTACATGAGGCAAGAAGAAAACCCAAGGAACTCACCACCCTGTCTAGTTTTCTTGCTTCTTTCAACCTTTGAGGAGTCATCTTATGTTTAATATATGAAATGTCTAGGGTTTTAAATTGTACTTAGTGGGAGGGATAGGGAAAAGTATGTGTATTCCATCTTCCTGGAAGCAGAAGTCTGTAGTTTTGTTTTATGTTAATTAAATAATAGTATGTCTATCAAAGAGATGCATGTGTGTAAATTAATGCATAAATATAAATATTCCAAGATAAATTGTTTGAAATTAATAAATATAAATGAGTTTGAAAATTAATGTATGCACTTTCAAAAAAATGGCGTATATATTATGTTCCAAATTGCCTTTCTGTGTTTATTTTAGGAATTAAAATTCTAAGAATCATAAGACTACAAAGGTATTTAGGAAATACATATTTAATTATGCAGTTTGAATAAACCTTCACGTTGTCTTTTCTGGTATACCCCCAAAAGTCTTTTGTTATTGTTTGCTTTTGATTGATGGCAGGTTTTAAAAGCTTACCCCTAAACCAACCTTTTGAGAAATTTTACTTAAAATATACTATTTTTCTAGTTATTAAAATGTAATTATCAATCTGTAGCATATGTAGTTCCAGCTGGATCTCTGTGTCTTCTAATTTATCCCCAGTGCATATCCATCTTAGACACACTGGCTACAGTGTGATAGCCAATATTTGGCATGTTGTTGCTTATTGTGTTAACAATTTTAATTTTTTTCCTTGATTTGCTGTTATTCATGGCATAGCTGCCTTTTTTTTAGCTAAAGAACAACACAACAGTCCTTTATCTGAAACTCTGGAAGCCAGATATGTATTATCATTTGGAATCTTTTGGGTTTTAGAAAGAATATGCAATACATGTACCCTATATTAGGCTAACCACCAGTATTTGGGTAAGAGGCAACACTGTGTAATCATACTCATCTATTTGCAGCTAAATGTTTTTGAATATTCACACCATAATATTGTTATATCCACACTAGTTTAGGTCACATTTGTCACTAAGTGAATCCCTCTTCTATCAAAGTGAATCCCTCTTCTATCACCATCAAAAAAAAATAATAATAAAGATGGGGGAGGGGAAAAGGATGGTGAAGAAAGAAACTTAGTTTTCCAGGCTTTTTGAACGCTGGAATTAAAGATACGGGTTTTTGGACCTGTGTAGGTAGGGCAGTCACCAAGCCTAGTCAGAGGAAAAGCCCCTGTTTAGTCCTGAACTCCTCAGTGTTTAACTGAGGAATTGGTGCTATAGGCCTGGTGTTACCAACTATGATTGTTTTCAATATAAAACAAAAGTGGCTATTGATTTAATCCTGTTATATGGTGTTGATCTTAAAAACTCATTGGATTCATACTAGGATTTAGGGTTTAATCCTGTAAGGATCATACTAACTTTCATCTTATTTATCCTAAATCCCTCTTTAATCTTATTAATCATGCCAGGCTTTTTTTCCAAGGGCCGAGATATACATCCATCCATCCATCCATCCATGTATGTAGTATATATTCATACAGTTATTTTTCCAAAGTTATCTATCTTTCTATGAAAGAGAAGATCAGTTTTCTCAAAGAGAGCCAAAGACCCATGAATACTTCTGCAGAGTAGCATTAGTATTGCAAGGATGACATCAGTTCTGTATTCTTAAACCTAAGATTAAAGTAGGTCTTGGCAGGGCCTCCTGAGAGGGAATCTAGTCTTAGCCTTGGATTTCCTGAGAAGGCATATGGCACTCTTCTGAAAGTGGGATGTTATTTCAGTTTAGAAGCTCTTAGTCAAAAAATATTGGATGAATTAATTGCAATGGAGACACTGCTTTCTAATAGTGGAACAAAAAGTCATTTCTTAGCTTTTGACCTTTGCCCTGAACTGGTGCTGTGTGCATTAGGAAAAGAAAATACACATTTGGTCTTAAGTCACTGTTTCTACTTTGCACAATATAACTGATTCAGACCTTGTGCTCTGTTTCTTTCATTTCTCAAAGGATAATTGTCAGTGACCATCCTCTCCAAGCAATCAAAGTAATAGATCCTAAGTATAAGTTATTATTTTTCTTATTTCTACTTTTGGGGGTGGGAAGTTTGAGAATTAGATCAAAACTTTTATTGATTGATTCAGCAACCAGTAAACCTGTACCAAATGTTCACCTTTGGGGCCTCACATGATTATGTTCCCTCTAGTTATTGGGTGGTGGTTGTCATCATTGTTTTCAACTGATTTGCCCACATTATACAGTTTTGACCTGGACTGAGTAACTTATGTAAATTCCTTAAATTGCTATATTATAGTGGTTTCAGGTCATGGGGAAAAAACCCTGGTAGGTACTATGAACCCTTCTATGTTTATTTCACTTATGACTTAATTACTCAGATTCCTAGATATAAAAAGTGTAGCAAAACATTGTATTATGAGTTAAAATAAAACTGGCTTTATTTTTTGATATTTTATGTTCAGCTGTACTTTATTTTTTCCAAGTGAAATAGGTAAAAAGGTCTTTTATGCATATATGATTATGAATGTTTACTTTGCATATTAATTTAAAAGGAAATTAAGAGAATATGTTTGCAAAAACAGATGAATCATTATTAATGAAAATCATGTAATGCTGACACTGATCTGAGAAGCAGAAGAAGTTTTTACCAGGATCTAATTGTATAAATGGGAAATTTAGGGTTAAGGAACTCACTTTAGGTGTTGGAGTAATTGTATATATGCATGCTTTGCCCGAAGTGAGGAGGGGCAACTTCGATTTCTAATCCGCTTTGGGGGAAGTTCCATATCAGAGCTGCACAGAAACATTCAGTGAAGCAGCTCCTTTATCATAAAGGGAATTTTAATTTAAAAATATTCTTGCATCGTGAGCAGGGTAAACGACAGCTGGCTACACTGGGCATTTATCTCCTTCAAACCACATTACCAGTAATTGCTGCATTAAATCAAAGTCAGAAGAGATTACAGGTCTGAATGGATCAAGGGGCTAGTGCTAACCCAAGGATTCCCACAACTGCTACATTGCTGCTCTTAGAGCCCTGTCTCTATCCCCAGTAGGTATGAGAGTCAGGTGCAGCTGTCAGATTCCTGACAGCTCATCTGTAAGGCATGAGCATAGTGAACACAATCCAAGAAGAGGGGCAGGTACACGCTCAAGACACCCTGGCCGCCTTTTTGGATTAGCTTTTTATTTTGAACGCAAGAGAATGGCTTCTTATTGTTTTTCGGTACTGTTAAAGAGAGAACATGTTGCCTGCTTTGTGCTTAAGGAAATTTGCTTTGGCATAAAAATCACTTCAATTTTCTCTCCTCCTTTATTTATTGATATTCCCTTCTTGGTCAAGGGTAGTCTTCTCACTTGATTTATGTTACAGAAATGTAACATAAATTTACAAAAATAACATAAATATGTTACAAAATAACAAATATTTGCAAAAATAACATATTTTGTAAAATGTTACAAATATTTACAAAATAACAACAATATGTTACAAAAATAACGTAAATGCCCTGTGCTAGGTATGGGTAGGTGCTCTCCCCTGCCCCCCAGCTGACTTTTCTCCTCCTAACACAGTTACCTAGTTCTTTATATGCTTTCTGCCTGCTGTTGAGGCCACTTATTCCTCAGATATAGATTTAGCTTCGTAATTCAGATAATTCTCAATCTCTTTTAAATGTCCTTCAATTATCAGAGATAATGATGATGACGACGACAGCAATGACGCCGATAACATCAACTATAATTTAATAATCAGTATATGCCAGGCCTATTCATATATCAACTGATTTAGTCATCACAGCAGCCCCATGAGATAGGTACTATTATTATCTTCTTTTTCCAGACGAAGAACTTGAGGCAGAGAGGTGTTAAATAACTTTTCTCAAATTACACAGCTAAGAAGTTATGGAGCTAAGATTCGAATCAAGTAGCCTGGCTTAACAGAGGCCTGAACTCTTACCCACATGTGATGTTGCTTGTGTACTACAACCAGGTACTCTGCTAGGTATTAGGGATACTTTAAGGAAGAAGGTGGACTATGTAGTACCTGCCCTCCTGAAGTGGGAGAGACAGAAACGATGATATGTCTGGCAAAGTGAGGAGGATGTATGCACGTGCTAAAGGGGTTCTCTAGCAGGGGGCTAATCTAGACTGATCAGAAGGAATTTGCTACCAGTCTTCCTTTTCAGAAGACCTTTTCTGTAGTGTTTTAGGGAAGACGGATGCCTTTCCCCCATCTCCTTTTATCATTCCCCCCCCCCTCCAAAGAAAATAACTAACCCTTCAAAAATTCATTGCATTAAGTGGGACAAGAATTCATTATTTTAATTTTTTAACAACTCGATGGAGGTATAATTGATATACAATGAACTGCACCTATATAAAATTAATTTGTTAGGTTTTGGCATATGTATATACCCGTGAAATCACCACAACCAAGATAATTAACATATGAATCATCTCCGTAAGTTTTCTCATGCCCCTTTGTAGTGCTCCCAATATGCTCTTACCTCCCCAGCACATCTCCAAGCAACCGCTTATCTGCTTTCTGTCACTATTGATTAGTTGGCAATTTCTAGTATTGTATAAAAATGGACTCATACAATAAGTACTGTTTTGCGTGGCTTCTTTCGCTCAGCATAATTATTTTGAAATTCATCCATGTTACTGTATATACTGGTGGTTCATTAATTTTTATTTCTAAGTAGTAGTAATTGTGGATATATGACAATTTGTTTATCACTATTACTTATCTGTTGATGGATATTTGGATTGTTTCCAGTTTTAGGCCAGACAAATAGATTTTTTATGAGTATTCATATTCATATTCTTTATATGTTCTTTTTTCTCTTGGGTAAATAGTTAGAATAGATAGATCATATGGTAGGTGTGTGTTTGAATTTATAAGAACTTGCTAAACTGTTTCCACATTGGTTATACCATTTTACATTCCACCAGCAGCATATGAGACTTTCGGTTCCTCCATAGCCTTGCCAAAGCTTGGTATTGTCGAAGTCTTTTAAATAGGTATGTAGTGATATCATACTAATAGGTTCTAATTTCCTAGTGAATAATGATACTGAGCTTCTTTTCATGCGCTTGTTTACTATCTCATTTACCATCTTCTTTTAATCAGGTGTTCATTTTTTTTGCCCATTTTTTAAAAAACGTGGGTTGTTTTGTTTCTTATGGTTGAATTTTGAGAGTTCTTGTATATTCTGAATACAAGTCCTTTATCAGGTGTATACTTTGCAAGCATTTTCTCTCAGTTGTGGCTTGTCTTTTTATTCTCCTCACAGTGTCTTTTGATAAGCAGAAGTTTTAAATGAAGTCCAATTTATTGTTCTTTTATGGATTATGTTTTTAATGTTATAGCTTAGAAATCTTTGCCTAATCCAAGGTCACAGAAGTTTTCTCCTAGAAGTTTTACAGTTTTATCTTTTACATTTTTAGGTATGTGGTCCATTTTGAGTTGTTTTGTATTTGGAAAGAAGTATAAATCTCGTTTCTTTTCATCCAGTTGTGTCAGCACCATTTGTTGAAAAGACTGTTCTTTCTCTACTGAATTCCGTTTGCACCTGTGGATCTATTTCTGGACTTTCTATTCTGTTTCACTGATCTATTTTTCTCTCTTGACACCAGTATCATACAGTCTTATAGGGATGTGAGTATTATGGGATCTAGCAGACTTCAGAAGAAATGATAAGTGTTACAAACATCAGGTATAGCATTCGATTTCAGTACAGGCCTAGAGAAAAGATAGTCATAATCTTTAAAAACCCTTTATTTGAATAGTGGAATGAAGTGGAGAGATATACTGTGTTGATAGTCAGAAAGACTCAATTCTCTCGGATGTTAATTCTCCCCAAAGTGATCTGTAGATTCAGTGTATATCCCAATCAGAATCTTAGCCAGATATTTGTAGAAATTGACAAGCTGATTCTAAAACTCATATGGAAATGCCAAAGACCTAGAATAGCCAAAACAACTTTGAAGAAGGAAAACAAAGTTGCAGGACTAACACAGCCTGATTTAAAGCCTGCAGACAGTGTGGTGTTGGTGTCAGTATTGAGGTTTACATCTTCATGTTATGCAATGAAATTGTGTCAGTTAGGTTTTGCTGTGTAACAAACTTTCCCACAACTTAATAGCTTAACAAAGTGTTAATCATTTATTTGCTCAGAGTTCTGCGGGTCAGGAGTTTGGGTGATTGTTTTAGTCTTGGCCGCATTTGCTGAGCCTCAGTGGTCTAGGATAACCTCACTCTCATGTCTGGCAGTTGGCAGGTTAGTTGATCTGGGGGCTCAGCTGGAGCAGTTCATCTGTATTCCACTTGCTCTCGTCCTTCACACTTCTTCACACAGTAGTGTCGGGGTTCCAGAGAGTAGCAAGAGAGGGCAAGCCTCAGTGAACAGGCACCTGTCAAGCCTCTGCTTGTGTGATATTTGCTAATATCCCCAAGACCAATGTGAGTCACAAAGCTAAGACCAAATTCAAGGGGTGGAAGAAACAAATTCCACTTCTTGATGGAGGAGCTGTGAAATATTATGACCAATTTTTTGTAGTTCACCAAAAAGGTATTATGAGTTAGTTGAGATAAAAGTTATTATGGAGAGAAAAAAGTTTTGTTGTATAAGATAATGTATGTGAAATTATTTTTAGGTATGTTTCCCTAACAGTATTAGAATATTTAAAATTATTTCCTGCTCTGAAAGTTTTACATTTTGCCCCTTAACCTTTATATATTGTCTTGTAAATTTAAAGTGAATAACTAATGGCTAGGCACAGTGGCTCATGCCTGTAATGCCAGCACTTTGGGAGGCTGAGGTGGGTAGATCACTTGAGGTCAGGAGTGTGAGACCAGCCTGGCCAACATGGTGAAAACCCTGCCTCTAACTTAAAAACAAAAAGTGAATAACTATTGTCCTATCCATTTACTGATTTATGAATGACACTTTTAACAAAACTGCTAATTCCTTGCCTCACAGTTTGTATGCCATGTCTCTCATTCCAAAACAGAAATGCATATCAGCCATTCCATGGTTTACTCTGTTATTACCCATACTTCCTTTCTGTACCATGTGTCATGCAAAGGAGTGTTTCCATACTTAACTATGATTTGCTATTTTCTGGTAGGTATAATTTAAAGATTTCCATTGGTGTAGAAAGCCTTACAATTTTCTCAGTACCTTAGAATCAATAGAACTCTTCCATGGATATTTTTAAATAGGCTTTTGACTTTTTTTGGGTATGCTGACCTGCCTGCCTTTCTGTAGGTATGGCTTCATGTATGCTATGCTGTTTTATGCACTTGAAAAGTTGTTCCACTGCCTCAAAGCTTCCCACCACCACCCTAATCCATCTAGAAAACTCCCGCTAGTTTTTTTAAAGTACATTTTAAGCATTAATTGCTTGTGAAATATTTCTGGGTTTTCTTCACCCTGAGAAATTAGATGGTGGTGGTGGTGGCTATAGTAGCAATTGCTGCTTTATTTTCTCCCAAGCCATATTGGAATAAGCGTGGCATTTATCGAATGGTATTTTGGTGTGTATTATTTTCTACTTTTTCTCCCCTGTATTTTCAGCTCTTGAATAGTTTTTGCTGTTTGTAGGCCTTCATGCAATGTTGAAGATATCATGATTGAATGAATATTGACTGACTAACAAATTAGGGATGGTCTGTATGTGGTGATTCATTCAGTTACCTCTGATTTGTAGTTTGAATTTATTGCAGACCTTCTCTTTTCATATACTGATGAGCATATACTGTATAAACTGTTTTAGCTTAATTCTTTTTTTTTTTTTTTTTTTTGAGACAGAGTCTCACTCTTGTTGCCCAGGCTGGAGTGCAGTGGCACGATCTCGGTTCACTGCCACCTCCGCCTCCCGGGTTCAAGCGATTCTCCTGTCTCAGCCTCCTGAGTAGCCAGGATTACAGGTGCCCACCACCACGCCCAGCTATTTTTTGTATTTTTAGTAGAGTTGGGGTTTCACCGTGTTGGCCAGGCTGGTCTTGAACTCCTGACTTCAAATGATCCACCCACCTCGACTTCCTAAAGTGCTGGGATTACAGGCCTGAGCCACCGTGCCTGGCCTTTAGCTTAATTATTTGTGAGAAATAGGAAGATGGATGGACAGGTTCTATCCTTAGAGAATTCATCTAATCAATAAAATAAGTATGTCTAAAAACAAATAGAGAATGCCATATAAGTTCAGAGGAAAGAGAAATCACTTCTAGTTGGAGGTAATCAGGAAGAGCTTTGTGGAGCAGATGGCATTTAAGGTAGCATTTTTAAGATTTGGGCATTTTGAAATGGGTAAGAAAACATGATCAAAGGCACAGAGGCCAAAACCAAACAAAATAAAGTAAAAATTCTCCTTGATAGAGGCAACTGTGGGTAGTTGAATGTATCAATAATTGGTTTTGTACTTTATTGCCACTTGGAAATCAAGTATCCCAATAGAAAGTTTGTTAAAATTTATATGCAGGCATTTTGTCTATTTTTCATTCTGACCATGAGTTTATCAGGTTTGCTACCATTCTTTTTACTCATATTACTAAAACAGTGCTCTGAAAACTCTTTAACTCTTGTTTGCTAAATTCAGTCATTTATTTCTAAATTCTCATTTTCTTTAACCTTTCTAGATTTCTACTTGGCATTGTTATATATTCACCTCTGATATCAATTTATGAAATACCTTCCCTAGTATAAAGGATGTGAGATCGAAGAAAAGAAACAGATGTCCTCTGTATTCCTGGCTTTTGTGAATAGTACACGATTATGCTTAATCTTTTTATCCTCTGTTTCTATTTCTGCCTTCTTGAAGCAAGGATTCCTCAAGGTTCTATTTTCAGCCTTTGCCTTCTATCTGTCTGTGTCTCCCCTCCACCTCCCATTTTTCTTTTGTCTCTACTTTTCTTTTTTTGGAGTACATGGTTGATGTATAATAAATGTTACAGACTGCATCAGTGTGGGAGAGGAATCTCAACCCCATTATGGCCATGGCTATTTCTCCTTTTCTCTTTGATCTTCGTGTCTAACCCTGACCTCTCCTCTAGCTGTACCTTCAACCCCGAGTACCTGTTATACCTTCTCTACCATTACTTCAAACCAGTTTATGCTTCAGATTTGTCTGTATTAGCAGTGTTATTCTTATTTGGCTAGTTAGCTAGAATTAGAACCTTTCTCTTATACCCTACATGTGGACAGTCTTCAATTACTGTGGATGTTGTCTTCGTCATCTCTTATATATCTATACCTTCTTTATTCCTACTGCTAATATGTATTTTTTGCATTAGTCATCTGTAACCTCTTGTAATGGTAGCTGCTAATTGGTTTCCCCACCTTTAGGTTGTTCCCTTTTTCATTCTTACCTGCAGCCACCAGAGCCATTTTCACAAAACGTTATTTATGTAGCACTCTTTTCCTCTTGCTCAATCTTTAAAGATCAGATCTGAAATACGTAGCAGGATGTCCTAGTCCTTCCATAGTGAACCTACCTACTTTTCTTGTCATTTGCCACCACCTACCCATAGTCAAGTAAACTGGTCACACAATCCCTTAGTCAGTCAGTCTTGCATATTTCTTTCTCTTTTTTTCCTTTTGGAGACGGAGTCTCGCTCTGTCACCCATGCTGGAGTGCAGTGGTGCAATCTCGGCTCACTGCAACCTCTGCCTCCCGGGTTCAGGCAATTCTCCTGCCTCAACCTCCCGAGTAGTTGGGATTACAGGCGCACGTGGCCACGCCTGGCTAATTTTTTGTATTTTAGTAGAGATGGGTTTCACCGTGTTGCCCAAGCTGGTCTCAAACTCCTGAGTTCAGGCAATCCACCCGCCTCAGCCTCCCAAAGTGCTAGGATTACAGGTGTGAGCCACCGTGCCTGGCCCAGTGTTGCATATTTCTAATGACATATTTTGCCTGCATATATATCTTCCTCCTCCACCCCCTGTCCCATCCTCATCCTTCCAGCTCAAGCCCTAGCTCTTTTGCTCTTTTTTTTTTTTTTTCCCCTCCTGGCCTCTAGAACTGACCTATCTCTTTTTGAAGTTCTGTCTTACCCTGGTGCACAGGGTAATATAGAATCTTTGGAACCTTCTAAGAATACTGTGACTAAAACCAAATTTATACCTCAGGCAGAAATCTCGGCAATCTTTGCTAAAGCATTCTACCCTGAGGCATAGCTAATATCCTTAAACATTTGGCAGGATTGTGGCATGGGCAGAAGGGAAAGAAAAAGAGAGAAGAAAACAGGAATGAGAGAATAGGAGAGGAGGAAAAGAATCTTAAATATTTTCTGGTTAATTTGATTGACTGAACTTAACCAGTGCTTGCTAAGTCTTGAGATCCCAAGGGTTGTATGTCGGTGTACAGATAACACTACAGCATCATCAACCATGTCCTCTGGCATGAGACTGATTTACCTTATCCTTAGCAAAACTTAAACCTTACAAATCTCATGATAATTTCTAAATATCTCACTCTTAAATACGAGGTCTATTTCTAGGTCTAGATTTTGAATAACTAGGTCTGTTTCTAAGTCTAGGTCTGTTTCTCCCTGATATCATTAAATTTCTGTTCAACAGACATTCTAAGTGTGCTAAGTGTTGAAACTTTTTTTTTTTTTCTTCCTGAGACAGAGTCTCACTCTGTCTCCTAGGCTCGAGTTCAGTGGCACAATCTCAGCTCACTGCAACCTCCACCTCCTAGGCTTAAGCAGTCTTCCCACCTCAGCCTCCCGAGTACCTGGGACTACAGGCATGTGCCACCAGGCCTGGGTAGAGATGGAGCTTTGCCATGTTGCCCAGGCTGGTCTTGAACTCTTTGACTTAGGCAGTCCGCCTGCCTGAGCCTCCCAGTGGGCTGGGATTACAGGTGTGACCCACTGTGCCCGACCCAAGTGTTAAAACTTATGTTGAAAAATGAATTGGGGCTGGGCATGCTGGCTCACACCCATAATCCCAGCACTTTGGGAGGCTGAGGCAGGTGGATCGCCTGAACTCAGGAGTTGAAGACCAGCCTGGGCAACATGGCAAAGCTCCATGTCTACAAAAAAAGTTGAAAAAATTAGCCAGGAGCCATGACATGCGCCTGTAGTTCCATCTACTTGGGAGGTTGAAGTGGGAGGATCCTTGAACCTAGAAGGCAGAGGTTGCAGTGAGCTGAGATTGTGCCATAGCACTCCAACCTGGGTGACAGAGTGAGACCCCGTCTCAGAAAAAAAAAGTGAATTGGTATTGCATGTCTTTGCTAAAGAGATGTATGGAAATATACATGAAGGACTATTTTCTGAATTCATGTTTTTTATTGATCAGGACACATGAACTTTAATACTATAAAAGCATCCATAATATTGTAGAGTGTAAACTTGAAAGTGGAATAGATTGGCATCATCAGCCAATAACTCTTGAGTTTATTGTGGAAAATTAGTCTTTTTATTTCTAGAATTTTTGAGTAAATATATTATTTAAAATTTTAAGGAAATACCCAGTCTTTTCTGATGAGGGAGGGGACTCAGGAGTAATTTCTGAGTTGAAAATATTTTCATTTTTTGTTTCTATTTTTAAAATCATTTTGATAAATGGGAAAAATACTGAAAGAATGATGTTGAGCTATTGATCCATGCATGGAATTTCTTTCTGTTAATAACTGAGGCTACATTATTCTGAAGAAAGACCATATCAAGAAAAGAGAGAGAAACCTTTCAAGTTTATAATTTGATTTTTTGTAGTGTGTTTTGTCTTATAGGTAAAAGATTCTCCTTTTTTTTTCCATCAGTATTATTTCAAATTTTGGTTTGACTAAGTTATTAGTCTTCAAATTATAGCAATTAAAAAAATTTTACAGAAAGAAATGGGTAAAAGGCAAGATAAAGTATAAGAGTTATAATTCAAATATTACATTATTTTGACATTTTTCTGAAGAGCTGATGATTTAAGCTATACCTGGGCATGGTTTCAGCAGAACCTAGGTGAGATATCTTAATCATATATCTAAAGATTAAGATTCTTTATTGTGTATATCCTCTAGTCTTTTTTTTTTTCAAGAGACAGGGTCTTGCTGTGTTGCCCAGGCTAGAGTACAGTGGCATGATCATAACTCACTGTAACCTTGACCTCCTGGGTTTATGTGATTCTCCCACCTCAGCCTCCGAAGTAGGTGGGAGTATAGGCACATGCTGTGTGCCACCATACCCAGCTAATTTTTTTGGGGCGGGGCTATAGGCAGGGTCTTAATATGTTGACCAGGCTGGTCTCAAACTCCAGGCCTCAAGCAATCCTCCTGACTCAGCTTCCCAGAGTGCTGGGATTATAGGCATGAGCCACTGCTTCCAGCCTATATCCTCTAGTCTTAAATGAGAGTTTATAGTTATCACATTATGTTAGGTAAAGCAAATGTGGTCGTATTATTATTATTATTATTATTAGAGACAGAGTTTTGCTTTCGTTGCCCAGGCTGGAGTGCAGTGGCACAGTCTCGGCTCACTGCAACCTCCGCCTCCCAGATTCAAGCAGTTCTCCAGCTTCAGCCTCCTAGGTAGCTGGGATTACAGTCATGCACCACCATGCCTGGCTAATTTTTTGTATTTTTAACAGAGAAGGGGTTTCACCACATTGGTCAGGCTGGTCTCGAACACCTGACCTCAGGTGATCCACCTGCCTTGGCCTCCCAAAGTGCTGAGATTACAGGCGTGAGCCACCGTGCCTGGCCTAGTCATATAAATCAGAGACCATGGGAATATTAATAATTTTTAAAGTACTTGTATTGAAAGTAAAATCTGTTTTGGTTCCTTTAAACTTTTAACAAATTATAGGAGCAGTTAATGCTAATTTAAATGTGTATGAACGATTGGAAATTTATCTCTAAATTAGTAAGCGAAAACCAGCCACCACCCCATTCCACCGCCTGGAGGTACTAGTTTTGTCTTAATGGCTACACACACACACACACACACACACACACACACACACACACACACACGTGTGTATATATATGTATATGTATGGCATATAATGGTATGTGTATATATAATGTGTGGACATATGGCATATATTGGTGTGTATGTCAACCAATACATTACGTATATGTGTATACATATACATACATGTCTAACTTATATGTGACTTAATAAAAGCTTAACTAATTACACAATAAATTTTTTAGTTTTTTCATTTTATTTGGAGCACTGCTTTTCAAAGTCTAATTACATACATAATTTATTGATTGATGTACACATAGATTCATACATGCATGCATACCCCTATATAATTTCATTTACAAATATAGAACTATAACACATTATTAAACAACATAATATTTTTCTTTCTTTCTTTTTTTTTTTTTTTTAGACAGAGGCTCACTTTGTTGCCCAGGCTGGAGTGCAGTGGTACGATCTCGGGTCACTGCAACCTCAGCCTCCCAGGTTTAGATGATTCTGCCACCTGAGCCTCCTGAGTAGCTGGGATTACAGGCACCCACCACCACGCCCGGCTAATTTTTGTATTTTTAGTAGAGATGGAGTTTCGTCATGTTGGCCAGGCTGGTCTCAAACTCCTGACCTTAGGTGATCCGCTCGCCTTGGCCTTCCAAAGTGCTGGGATTACAGGCATGAGCCACTGTGCCTGGCAATTTTTTTCATTTAATAATGCATCAGTCGTATCTTTTCACCTTGTATGTATAGTCTAGAAGAATTTAAATCTTTCTCTGGAAATTGACTAGGCCTTCAATAACATTTGGGGATCACTTTCATGCTTAAATTATGTCAGTTGTTTTAGGATTTGAATTACAGTCTTTCATCTTAAATACAACAGCATCTGGGAATTTCCTCTATAATTAAGTCACCAAATATTGAACTGGGTTAACTCTTGAAGTTTAAGTTAGTCAGTCATAGTTCATTATTACAGCCTTTTATGATGTATAAGACATATCATCATTTTCCAGTCTTCATATCAAGAAGAATCTTAGGAGATTTAATAGTGATTTAAGATACTAGCTTATAAGTGTATATGTGGCCCATCCTGCTGTACTGCTATGTATGAAATGACAGAAGTGTACAGGGAGGAAGAAGGATTAATAATTATTTGATTTGATTAGAAGAGGAAATTTAGCATAAGGTTTTATTGCAGAAACATTCTTTTTTTTTTTTTTTTTTTAAAAAGAAAGGTGTCACTATGTTGCCCAGGCTAGACTTGAACTCCTGGCCCAAATGATCCTCCCTAGTAGCTGGGACTACAGGCACATGCTGCTGTACCCAGTCTTTTGTTATTTCTTAATTACCATTTTAATACCTATACAGGAGACTGTTAGAATATATAGTCCTCTCATATCTGTGGGAGATTGGTACCAGGATACACCCTCTCACACCCCTGCAGATACCAAAATTGGCAGATGCTCAAGTTTCTTATATAAAATGGTGTAGTATTTGCATATAACCTATGTTCATCCTCTTGTAGACTTTAAATTATCTCTAAATTATAATTTCCAAAACAATGTAAATGCTATGTAAATAATTATTATAACTATTGTCTTTAAAATTTGTATTATATTTTTGTTATTATACAGTATTGGGTTTTTTTTATTGCTTTTCACAAATATTTTGTTTGCAGTTGGTTGAATTCACAAATGTGTAACCCAAGGATAAGGAGGGCTGACTGTATATTATAATCCCTTAAGGTATGGCAAAGCACATCTGAAATGTTATGAGGCTTTGATAATCTCTGTTAAGAATTGACAAAGTAGGGTTTTATAGTTCTAATGGTGAGAGAGACTATAAAACTGTGTATTAAGAGCAACTTTTTTTTTTTTTTTTGAGATGGAGTTTTGCTCTGTTGCCCAGGCTGGAGTGCAGTGGCGGGATCTCGGCTGCGGTGGTGAGCCTTCGCCTCCTGGGTTCAAGCAATTCTCCTGCCTCAGCCTCCCAAGTAGCTGGGATTACAGGGTGCATGCCACCACGCCCAGCTAATTTTTGTATTTTTAATAGAGACAGGGTTTTGCCATGTTAGCCAGGCTGGTCTCGAACTCCTGACCTCAAGTGATCCCCCTGCCTCAGCCTCCCAAAGTGTTGGGATTACAGGTGTGAGCCACACCACCCGGCCAAGAGTAATTTTTAAAAAATGTTTTTCCATGTATGAGAAGTTGCTTACAATATTTAGTTTTGTGCTGTAGCATTGTTTTGCTTTTTGGCTTTGCCTGTGTCCTTATCTATTTCTCCCATAAACTGTGAATTCATTGACAACAGAACTGTGTTCATTTCTCCAGGGCTTAGTACAATATTTTGTCTGCAATAGATGTTCAATAAATGTTTTATTAATTATACTGAATAGATTTATTCTTGTTCTTCATGTGTAATGCACATAGAATCAGTACCAGCAAATTGAAGATAATCGAGTATAGTGGTCCTCCTAATCTGTTAGAACTGAGTTCAGGTAAATGTTTAACCAAGAATACCATCAAAATATGCTATAGCCATTTTGACTCTTAAAAATCTGTTTCTTCTGAACAATCCTAAAATAAATTACAGTGACCGTAAAAGGAGAAGAATTACACTGATGGGGGCGGGGCATGGAGGGCATGGTAATACTTAAATTCTCACAGATGCCCTCACAGTTGCATTTAATCCTCATGGTTTAATCATCCAAAAGCATGTTACAATATTACTGGCTCTCCACGATTAGGGACGTCATAGCCCCTGAAACTTATTTAGAATTATTTACCATTTTGAAATTTTGAATGCTTGTTCCAAATAGAAGATTTCGTAGGATCAATAGTTACAACTGGTTTGTCTTTTAATAAACATTAATTTTCACTTTCTGCTCACTCTGTGTCCTTTTTCTAAGGATTACTTAGCAGTTTTCTGATTTTTGATGGGCCATTTAGGCTCTGAAAGCCAACTCTTGAACCTATTGTGCTTTGTCAGACAAACCTAACACCTGTCCATGTTTGTTACTGCTTTTAATATCTGTTATAGAAATATGTGTGCACATGTGTATTTGTATATAATGGCAGGGTGGGTATAGCAGCTCCCTAAAAGGAGAAAAGCAACTGGCTTTTCTGAAAAGACCTTTCCACCCCCACCTTTTTGCAGACAGCCGGAGTTAATCCTTCCAAGTTTGACTGGAACAGCTGAGCAAGTGTACCCTGCATATCTGGAGGCCTCCAGTGGACTCATGTTGCCTCAGAGTTGGGGCCACTTTCTTCTTTTCTAGTGCTGATCCTGCCAGCTGTCCTAACCTCTGTTAAAGCACAGCGAGGGAGGTGTTAAATGATACAAAAACATACAGTGTCATGAAAGGGATCCCCTTACTGCGTGTATCAGTGTGACTTTTTTCTCCCATTCCTTTCCGTGGCAGAAAGGTTTTATACTGTTAATCCTAACACCTGTCTCTGCCGGAGACAGTGAGAAGGGTGTGTGTGTGTGTGTGTGTGTGTGTGTGTGTGTGTGTGTGTATGAGAGAGAGACAGAGAATGCGCATGCGTGCACACGGGTACATGCTCCCCGCCCAAGAAAGAATAGAGTAGTAATACCAGTCCCATCTGCCTTTCTGTGTCCTGGATTGGGAGTATTCTCTGACGCACTTAAAGCCTGGAACATATATATTATTTTGGCTCCTGGATACCTTAGACTTCCTACCGTGTTTGTGTGCCAGTGTGAGGAGCCTGTGTTCCCTTCCCTGGCTGTCATTCTCTGCCTCTTGAGTTTCTGGTTGAGTTGTCAATTTAAAAACCAACAGTAACAGCAAATCTCCAGTGTAGTTTTCAGTCTGTAACTAGTAACTCAAAGCTTTTTGCTTTTTTCTGAACATCTCTTCTGTGTATTGTCAAATCCTGTTGGGGTGGAGGCCTGGTCTCAACCAAGCTCCGACTTCATCAGCTGAGCCAGCATACCTATCTGCGTAGACTGGAGGTCAGCGAAGGATTTTTTTGGTGCTACCTAGTTCCTTTGGACAGGACAGCCAGCGCAAACAAGGCAAAAACTTAGACACTTTTTGTACTGTCCTTATCTGAAGATTTTTTCCCTTTTGCTATGTATGGTGTATATTGTATGGATTATCAATATCCTGTTGTCCAGGTAAGCTAAGGGTTATAATTTCTAGATACTGTTTGATTTATGTGAAGCTTTATGGTGGAATGAAATGCCTACAAGGCTTTCTGTCTTTTGACCCGGTACCATTCAGAGCCTAGCTTTCCCAGTGCTTTTTGCTAATTTACTGTAATAAGAGGATTTAATTTATAGTATTGGCGGCCAGACAAAGGTGGTTGGCATTCACCCCTAGAAGTTCTGAAACTTTGGAGAGATT
Source organism: Homo sapiens (assembly GCF_000001405.40). Lineage (NCBI taxonomy): Eukaryota > Metazoa > Chordata > Mammalia > Primates > Hominidae > Homo > Homo sapiens. Next base: position 170,340 of record NT_187630.1, on the reverse strand, counting down.
CTGTGTGTCTGTGTGTGTGTGTGTGTGTGTGTGTGTGTGTGTGTTTGTGTGTGTATGTGTGTGTGTGTGTTTTGAACCAGGTGGGCTGGACAATATAAATGTAATGTAAAAAACCCATCATATTATGATAAACTTTAGGCTTTGTTTTGAGCAGATGAGAGGCACAGTTGGCAGTTTCCAAATGTTGTATTTTCCAGAAAGGTAATATATAAAGTAGAGGGCATCTTTCCCCACTAAGACTATTTTTAGTCTAACGTTTTAGACTATTTTGTGATGACATTAGTAACATCTTATTTGTTAACTTGTTGAAATTTAGAATCAGAAAATGTTAGGTCATTGCCAAGCATATTTCTGAATATCTTATAGTAAGAAAAATTGAAGTTAGGAGTCCTGGATTCTGGTTCCAGCAATAGAGTTAACCACCACCATGTTCATGCTCAAATAACTTCAATTTTTCTTGACTTTAGTTTTGTTGTATATAAAATGAAGGAGTTGGGCCAGATGACCTCTGAGCTATCATGATTTTTTGAAATATTGTGATGGAAACCTAGAATAAGAAAATAAATACAGTTAATACAATTAATTCTGAATTAAAGATACTACTTGGTCTGTCAGTTTGTTTTAGTTTGTTTTCATGTTCCTTTAATTATTTTTTTCTTTCAAATAGCCATTTCTCTAATAATTAGCACCTATGTTGCAGGTTGGACCGGAATGCATAGAGTTAAAAGAAATAATGGACTAACTAGTACATCTTATTAGGTATTTTGGGCCTAAAGGCCCAAGCTATTTTGGATTGGGCCTGTTGGGTAAGCTCTCTGGAGTAAACTTACAGCTTTCATTCAAGTCTAAAGCTATCAATATTGCAATCATATGGCAGTGGCTGTGATTATGTTTCTCTTTAACTATATTCTAATAGAGGTCTATATTATATGTTTTATATTAATGATATAACTGTTTCTGTTATTTTGGATTATTCAAATTAAGAGTATTTTATATTTACGATAATGAGGTTTTGATATATTTGTGGATTTCACTTATCTATGAACTGTATCTCTACTGACATAAAACAATAGCTTGGGCTTTGTAACAGCTTAAGGCTGGAAGTGTTATGAGACTAGATTAGAACCAGGTCTTTTTACAAGTAAATATTAATGTGCTTTCAATGAGAAACATCTGTGAACAGTAAATTTCTGACCCACAACCAGCAAAGTATGGGAATTATAGTAACTATAACATAAGTAAAATTCTTTGAGGAAAAAGTTGAAAAAGTAAAAATGTTTCCCAAGTGAATTGAAGTATTAGACATATATGAAAAAATAATTACAGTATGTAATTGAATTTTTTGAGGAAGGAAATTGACCATCTCCCCCTCCCAATTTTGGGGTGGATTAAAGAGTTCCTGTTCAGAAATTATGACATGGTTTGATGAAAGTCTTTTGCAGCAAAATTCTAATCAATATTCATAATAAGATGAATTTTCCACCCCCAATTTTTTTGGTTATTAGTATTTAGTACTGATAAATGTAGTGCACAGTATTTGAAACTACACTTTCCTGGCTTTACTCCATTTGTAGGTTTATTCTATCTGAAATTAACGTCGTTTAGAAATGGAGGTAATGGGATATTAAAATTTAAGGGTTTACTCTCCATTCTGCCACATAGGAAAGCTAATGGGATTAAAAAAAAACAATTTTAAATTGAAGGATCCCAAGCTATTTTACAATCTTATTTATTACTTTTTTAAAGTAACAGTTTTTTTCAGTGCATTTATAAATGAGTAGTAGATGGTTGGTTACTACCCAAACTCTTAACTACAGTTATAAAATGTTTTTAGCTTCTTTTATATATTCTTTTGCTTAGTTAAATCCAAGCTTTCCATTGCATAATGCTTGCAGTTTCATACTAATGCATTATACAGTTGGACGTTATGGAGGACATGATTGAACAGTATTTCTTTTAATGAAAGGTTTTACATCTATTTTTAATTAAGTTATTTCTAGAATTGCTAGTTTTGAGTTAATGAAACAAAGTGAGTTCTCTTCAACAGAAAGTTCGAAAATATTTTAGGTACTTGACCTTTCATTGCTAAATCATGCCTATTTTAAGAGTGTGCCATTGAAAATGATTATTTTATTAGTTATAATTTTCGTAGAACCTAGTCTGGCCAAATTAGTTTAAAATCAGGCAGAGTAAGGAGATACAGGCTTGCTTGTGATTTAAGGGACAATGAATGTAGTCTCCCTGCCCAGACAAATCTATTTAAGAAACTGTTCCTGAAGTTATTCTTATAGACAGTCTTTCAGATTAAACATTTACTGCCTCTGATCAGATGGTTAAAATGTAACTTGTTGCAAGTTAAGGGTATTGTCTTTTATCACAGGTTTTCCTTAGGCACTTTTACTTAACCTGTCATCCAAGTGGTGAATGGGGCAGTTGGAGGAAGAGGAAACAGGGTCTTAAATTATTGGAGGTATAGCTAAATTTCCTGATTTGAGGGTTTAGGGTAGCCAAGGACAGCTTAAGGATATTAGGCATCTAGAAAATTGAGAGACAGAAATTTACCTATCTAAAGGACACTTTTTCTTTTGAAACAGAGTTTCTTTCTTGTCACCCAGGCTGGAGTGCAGTGGTGTTATCTCGGCTCACTGCAACGTCTGCCTCCCGGGTTCAAGCAGTTCTCCTGCCTCAGCCTCCCAAGTAGCTGGGATTACAGGTGGGCATCACCACACCCAGCTAATTTTTTTTTTTTTGTATTTTTAATAGAGACAGGGTTTCACCATGTTGGTCAGGCTGGTCTTGAACTCCCATCCTCGGGTGATCCACCTCCTCGGCCTCCCAAATTACAGGCGTGAGCCACTATGCCCAGCCTAAAGGACACTTTTGATATTGAGGTATGCTCAGGTCCTCAAAATGCTGTAGAGTATATTAGGCTCTCCATTTCTTCATGGGAAGTTGACCTTGGTGTTAAGCAGTACACACACACACACACACACACACACACACACACACACAACTATATAAATTTATTTACTTATATAGTTTATACTTATATAGTTTGTGTAATTATATTAACTTATATAGTTTATACTTACATAGTTATATAATTATATTAACTTATATAGTTTATACTTATATAGTTTATGTAATTATATTAACATATGCAAGTTTATAATTATAGTGTATGTAATTATATTAACATATGCAAGTATAGTTTATACTTATATAGTTTATGTAATTATATTAACATGCAAGTTTATACTTATATAGTGTATGTAATTATATTAACATATGCAAGTATAGTTTATACTTATATAGTTTATATAATTATATTAACATGCAAGTTTATATAATTTATATAAATTGAATTTATTTTCTCATTCTGAATTAGTTTATTGTGTACCAACTGTTTTTTGAGTACCTACTGTGTGCCAGATACTATGCCAGACACAGGGATATTAGTGGTGAACAAGACAACAAAGTTTCCTGTAACTTAATAATAGAGGCATGGCATATTCGTGGCATGCCGTTGGATAAAGAGCAGTCTTCAATTTTCACAGATTAATCATGTATTATCTTCTTGACAACCCAGTTATTGATAAATTTGTTTACATCCCATCCATTTTCATATTTGTCTGAGAACCTTTTCCTTAATCCCTCACAGGGATGTGTACAATGTACACATAATTTCAGTTGTATGTATGACTCTAGTTATCTGGGGTTTGGGATTTCTTAAAGATATGAATAAGTTACCCAAAGACATGTAGTAATTTGTGAATTAAATTTTTTGATTTGCCTGGCCTCACTGATGTCTTAGTTTATGTTATTTGTGGTTTTGTGCTAAAGGTTTGACTTTGGGGAACAGGAAATAAATGAGGATTGTTTTTTATAAGCCTATAAGATCTAAAGCATTTGATTTCAAATTTCACACTCACTTTTTTTTTTTTTTGAATGGTGAATGGGTTCTATATGACTGAACTCTGCCTAAACTAGAGAAATAAAGTTAGGGAAATAATAGAGTTAGCTGTAATTTGACTTCATTTATGTTAAGGGGAATGTTGGGGCAAAGGATATTAAAGTGGTATTGTATTAGAGGTGCTTCTGGAAAGGTATTTAATATCTGTTAGGTGTAAATTGTTATTTACACTTAGTTAGGGTTATTGTGTGGGGGCGTGCCGTGAAGAGCCTTTATACCAACAAGTTTTTATTATTGCAGGAAATGCTCTCCCTTTAATGTTGCCTTTCACTTGGGTGTCAGAGGCAGCCTGGGAAAGTTGGAGCAAGCCCTGCCTTGTAGACAGGGACTCTTAGATCCACTTTTATAGCAGTGCTGGTATGTGGGTGGAAGGTAGGGAAGCTGAGTTACTTCTGTATGACAAGAACACCTAAAAAAAATTTTTTTTAAATGAGTGGGTATTATTTTGTCTAGAATCTGAACTATTCTAATAAAATTGAAAATAAAGCCTTTCTCCCACTCTTTTTGTACATCTTCCTTTCAGCTTCAGATTTCTGAAAGATACTGAAAATAAAACTGAAGTAAGGCCAGGCGCGGTGGCTCACGCCTGTAATCCCAGCACTTTGGGAGGCCAAGACGGTTGGATCACCTGAGGTCAGGAGTTCAAGACCAGCCTGGCCAACATGGTGAAACATATCTCTACTAAAAATGCAAAAAAAAAAAAAAAAAACTGCCGGGCATGGTGGTGTGTGCCTGTAATCCCAGCTACTTGGGAGGCTGAGACAGGAGAATCGCTTGAACCTGGGAGGTGGAGGTTGCAGTGAGCTGAGATCGTGCCACTGCACTCCAGCCTGGGCAACAGAGCGAGACTCCACCTCAAAAAAAAAAGTGAAGTAAATTTATAAATTTGAAGATATCTCCAAGTGCGCTCTTGGAAGAAAGAATGCTTTTATAATATTTTGATAACTACATAGGTGCTCTTCATTCTGATGTATCCATGTGTGAATAAATAAATGGCTAGAGTAATAGAAATCAAGGCATTATTGTTTGATTTCAACAAACATTCATTTACTGTGTATTCAGATACTGGGTTAAGAACTGGGGATATAGTATAAAACATGATTTCTACCCTCAGACTGCTCATAGTCTAGTCATAGTTATGCAGAACAGTAACTCCAACCGTTATGTACCATGGATTAGGTGCTAAGGTAAAGTATGCTCACAGATAAGGGTACCTAAACCAGATGTGGGAGCAAGTAGGGTCAGGAAAGGCTTTCTGGAGTAGGGGATTTCTGAAGTAAGCCTTGAAGGATGAATAACCCATATAGTCGGCCATATTCAAGGGAAAAAGAATAGAAACATGGTGTTCAGAAGAGATGTATGTGCTCAAAAATAGAAATGTGGGAGCCGTCAGGGTAAATTCTTGGTAACTGAAGTGATAGAATGAGTTGGAACACCTTGAGCAAGTGTGGTCAGCAATGTTAACTTCTTTGAGGTTTGGACCCTTTTGAGAATCTGATAAATACTACAGATCCTCTCTGCGTGGAAATGCATATAAGAAAAATTTCTACTGGGGTGCCTGTGTTAGGAACCATGCACTTTGGGTTAAGAACCTCTGGTGTGCAGTAAAAAGAGATCTGAGGATGACACCTTGCAAGTAACAACAACAATTGAGAGGATGGTAGAGGAGGAAGAAGAGTACGATGGAGAAGAGGGTGAACAGGGAAAGAGGAAAGTTAAGAAAGACTGGTATCATTTTAAGTTAAGAGTGAGAGTTTCCCAAAGGAGGGAATGCCAAATACCACAGACAAATCAAAGAAGACATAAAATGTCCATTAAATTTGGCCATGATTTGGAGGTCTTCAGTGACTTCAGTAAGGTAAATTTCAATTGAGTAGTATGGAGGAAAGGAAGCTGGGGTTCTGGAGATTGGATGAAACACTCAAAGAGTTGAGACTACAGGGAGAAGTACCTCTTTCCTTCATTTGTTTATTTAATAAATATTTCTTGAGTACTTACCACGTCCCAGACACTGTCCTGAAAGCTGGGGATTTGTCCATGGAGAAGGCAGGGCCTCCTTCATTAGCTGACATCTCATCGTGCCCACCCTGTTCCAAAGCTTCCCAGCCCCTGCCTGTCTCTCTCCTCCCAAACACACATACAGGAAATGTCCTAAAATGATTTTCTCCTTGGTACATTACCGGGCACATTCAGCCACCAGGGGACTCCAGTTTTGCTGGGTCAGACCCAGGCTGCTCAATTGCTCTTCTCTCTCTTGGACACCAGGGAGCAAATTGTCCTCTATAATACCAGGGACACACTTCAAAATATCATTGTGCCAGTCAGACCTCACTATGAGCCTGTCATTCAGTGAGTTTATAAAAATCATTGTAACATTTTTTTTAAGCTTGTACCAATTCTTTCCTGTAATAAATTTTTAAGCCTATTTGCACTGTAAAATATTGGTTCTAAATGTAGAAAAGTAGCATGAATTCCTGGCCTGAGGAAACCTTTATCCTAGTCTTGGACTTTTTGCATGTGGGGACCCCTCATTTGCCCTTTTCTTTAAAAACAAAATAAAACAAAACAAAAAAACTCCTTGGGGCCTTGTCTCTTTCCATGATGTATGGAGGCTGCAGTCACACCTAAGTGTCAAGGTAGCTGCTGCTTTTCTAAGGATGGGGGCGGGGGACATTGTGGGGGAGATGCTATCTTCTTAGTGCCCCAGGCTTTTTGTCAAGAATAGTGTAATAAACCAGAGGATTCAGAGAATGATACACAGTGATTCTGAGGTTTATTTCAATTATTAGAACTGAAAACACAGTTATCCCATTAGTATGATTCAAGATTTTTTCCAAAAATACACTGGGTTGCTCTTGCTTCCAGTGAAACTCACCTGCCCATTTTCTGCTTACTCACTTTGTCTTTAGAAAATTTGACTGCTTTTTATCTCCTTCTGATTGGCTTTTCAGTTGCAAATTCAGAGAGTACTATATATTCTGTGTTCCAGGTCACTTCTAAAAAGTGTTAAATAAGAACAGGCCTAGTACTTATCTATATTACTTTACTCAGCGTTTTTCCTAATATTTGAAGATCTCATTCTTTTTAAAATTATTACTATGGATTATGCCACAAGTATACAGATATCTGTAAAATGCACAGAATAGAGCCTGATATACTATGTTACATCAGTTTCTCCAGGTTCCACAGATGGTCCTGTATTTCCTGTGTTCCTTTCAGAATTGTTAAAATGATTATTAATTTAGGAGCGGGTGTAATGATGTTGTATTGGCAGTGTGCCAGCCAATGGTGTTATACAACACATTTTTTTAATTTTAAAATTTTAAAAATTGAATTCACAATAGAGATAGGGATTTGCCATGTTGCCTTGGCTGGTCTTGAGCTTCTGGGCCCAAGAAATCCACCAGCCTTAACCTCCCAAAGTGCTGGGATTACAGGTATGAGACACTGCGCCTGGCCAATACAGAACATTTTTAAAAGCCTGGTACTGCATGTTGCCAAACAGTCCTTATGGAGACAGCAAAAAACTATGTATTCTCAGTGTGATTTGTTATTTTGAATTTAGATTTCTGTAGATGTTTATTTTTTAAATGGAGAGCTCGTGTTGTTAGCCGTGGGCTTGTAAAAAATAAAAATAGATAAAAATTAAAAATGGGAAGCTTAATTTTGGAATTAATCTTTTTAACCTTTGGGTAGTCTTTTAGAAAGTATATCCTAAAAATACATAGCATAACTAAAATATCTCATAAATCCTTCAGAATGAGCTATTTATTAGAATGCTGTAAAAAATTAGAAAATCTTAATTTTATGAGACAACTGATAAACTCATCATTTTATAAATTGTTTTATTTGAATGTGTGATAATATAAAATAGGGAAATTATGAAGTTTATATTCAGAGGTTAAAGATTTTTCCAAGATCACTAGTAAAGGGCAGAATTAGACCAACTTCTGGACTGAACCACATCTTTGATGCATTTTTTAATTATATTATTTTAATAAGAGAACTTTAAAGAAACTCTTATTGTCAGTATTCTCCTAAACCTGTAGCTACAGCATTCTATAACAATTACTATTTACAATAATGACACAAATTTCTAGGGTATATATAAGAAAGGATTTACCTTTTTCAATAAAGGCTGAAACATAGAAGGCTGGAGAAAACAAAAGGTGAATTTTCAGTTAACCAAAATTTTATTGAAGCTGGAAGCCTTAAGCAAATTTGCATGCACCTTTGTGTATCTCTTAAGTTTCTTAAGCAGTCATATTTGTAGACACCTTTTTCAGAGTCTCCAGGTATTTTTTATAGTAGGAAAAAAATCATTTAAATTACCTCTCATTACCTGTGTCCTCTCTTTTAGTCCTTTGCTCTCACTAGGCTGGTTTGGTCTTCCAGGACAAGCAAGTTCTTGCATATTCCTGTTCCTTGAAAAACCTTCCAGTTAGTGGTCATGTAATAGCTTTTCACTTCTTCACATCTTTCTTGTTAAATCCACTGCATCTATAAACTGTACATCAGTAAAAATGTTTTATTAATATTAAAAATAATTTTGTTTCATTTCTTATTTGACATTCATGGCTGGAATCTCTTAAATCTGTATGAACTATAGTAAGCTGCTATGAATGCTTCCAGTGCTATATAATTAATTCCATCATCGCATCCTTAAAATATGCCAGCACATGGCGCTTGCCCCTCCCTACCTCCTCCCCCCTACACACACACACACACACACACACACGCACACACGCACACACGCGTGCGCACAGCGTACACCAAACTGCCATTCTCCAGCAGGCCTGCTTCTGGAGTTGGGAGATGTCAGCCTGCTGGGAGGGGGTGGGGGGAGGAGGAAGAGGTGGGGCTCTACTCTGATTAATTACCTTAGGCATTCAGGGGTGGGGCTTCCTTCAGCCATCTGCCTGAGATATGGGAGGGAGCTGGAGAAAGAAGGAGGGGGAGAGACTGCCAGAGAGGAAGAGAAAAGAAAGGAAGAAACATTAGAAAGAAAAAGGAAGGAAAACGGTATAAAGAGAGATCAATTACCCACCCTTAAATAGCTAGATTGGGGGGGGAGGGGGGTGGAAAAGAAAGCTGTGGAGGTGTGCCCCAGCACGGCTGCTTTGAAAGGTTTATCATCTATCCGTTTGGTTTATGGAGAAAAAGAAAATGGTAACTCAGGTAAGATTTGTGCTTCCTCGGCATGTTTCTTTTCTCCTCTCTGGGATCTAAATAAAGGTTTGAGGGTGGAGTATAGTAAGAAGAGTTTTAATCATTATTGTCTTCTTAGAACAGACCAGATTTATTGTTATCAGCTGAAAAGTCTGTGTCTGTTGAGTCCGTTTATGTGTGTGTTATGTATCCGTATCCTTTCTTCCCCCTCCCTCAACTCCATAGCAGATTCCTGTTTCCTGTACTGTGCAGCTGTAGCTCAGGAAAGACCCTGTGGGGATTTGTCTACCTCTTTGTCTTGGTTCTGAGAAGAGGGAGGGAGAGAAAGACTGCAGAGGTAGGAAGAGATTCTTGTAGACTGCCAAAAAGAGGGGAGCAGGATTCCTTTTAAGAATTTCAGAAGAATTTGTGTTATAGGGAAATCTGATTCCTTGTTCACTTTGGTTTCTCAGGATTGGCTATGGAATTGTAGTTTTGCTGTTACTCTAAACTGCTTATTAAAAATGAAGGTTAGAAAAGAATGTTTCATTTTCATGCCTTTGTTACTGGCAAAGAAAATTTTCAGTAGGAGCATTCAGGTGTGACAGAGGCAGGTAGAGCCCTCCTTGACAGGAGAACGAATCTGAATGTATAAATCACAATCACACAGGCTTTAAAATACATTTGAAGGAGAGAGAGTAGGAAATGGAAGATACCTCTCCTCCCTCTGTCTCCCCTCTCGTTTTTCTCTCTTCTCTTCTCTCTCTCCCACTCCCACTCACTCTCTCCCCCAACCCCCTCAATCCCCCTTTCTCTCCTCATCCTTTTCCCCTCTTTCTCCCTGCCTCTTTTTGGTTATGCCAGGCAATATCTAATCTGCATTTTAGCAAGTCATTCCTGACAAATGGAAAGGTGAATGCTCTTCCACAGTTCTCCCTGGCAAGGCAATTTTTCTTGTTAGCATCCTTCTGTACGCTCCATTACCCTTTTTCCTTTATGTATAGGTTAAGAGGAAATGATGAGGCTCTGATTTATCAATGAGAAATCATTTACACTGTAGGACATTCAAATCCTTTAGTCTCAGACTTAAGATCAGTTTCACTCCAGGTTTCTATGCTCTGTGGAAATTTCATCACTGGACAGTGCTTTCCTTTTAAGGAGGTTGCCCTTTTTTTGTGTTCTCTCTTCTCTTCCTCTCCCAGTAACCACCGGAGGGCGAGAGAGCCAGCTAGTTATCAGGATGGAGGCATCATTTTAGGAGCTGGAATCCTGTTTAGTTATATAATGCCCTGCAGTGCTGTTTGGAAGGAGGGAAACCTGTAGGGATATTTTCCCATTGGGACCCAGAGGAAAGAAGTTTCAAATATATCTTTTCAAAGTAATTTTTCACCAAATCTGAGTTTAGAAAATTTCAACAAACTCCTTCCTCTTTTGGAAAAGCGGAGAAGCTTTTGAAATGTTTCTCTTCCATGTGTTATCCCCTCATCATCAGTCTAATTACCTCTTTTGAAATACTGCTTTATGCTCTCGGCCTTAGCGCCATTTTTTTGGAAACCTCTGTGCCATGAGAGCCAAGTGGAGGAAGAAGCGAATGCGCAGGCTGAAGCGCAAAAGAAGAAAGATGAGGCAGAGGTCCAAGTAAACCGCTAGCTTGTTGCACCGTGGAGGCCACAGGAGCAGAAACATGGAATGCCAGACGCTGGGGATGCTGGTACAAGTTGTGGGACTGCATGCTACTGTCTAGAACTTGTCTCAATGGATCTAGAACTTCATCGCCCTCTGATCGCCGATCACCTCTGAGACCCACCTTGCTCATAAACAAAATGCCCATGTTGGTCCTCTGCCCTGGACCTGTGACATTCTGGACTATTTCTGTGTTTATTTGTGGCCGAGTGTAACAACCATATAATAAATCACCTCTTCCGCTGTTTTAGCTGAAGAATTAAAAAAAAAAAAAGAAAAGAAATACTGCTTTATTTTTTAAAAAAAATTTACATAAAAGATAAATCCTGTTTCTGGATTCTCTTTTTGCTTGGGAGATGATACTTGCTTAACCTTAGAGCCCTCATTCAATTTTTATTAACTGGCAATATTAGAGGGTAACAGCTCTCTTCTTGCTTAGCAATTACTGAAGGCTTTTCAATGACTTGACTTTTCATTATTTATTTTTTAAACTAGTGAAAGAATGATCTAAAATGGAAATTTTTATGATGAGTTTTCTATTGCCTCTTGGAACATTTCCCCTTAGTTTCTAGAGGAGCTGGTAAGTGTAGTGTGTGTGACCATTAAGTTAGAGTGCACATGCTTATGCACACTTAATATTGTGGTCGTAATAATTAGTATTTAAAGAAGCCATAAGTTTAGGAATGAAGTAGAAGAAATAAATGGAAACTGGAAAGAGAGATTCTGGGGTGCTTAATAATTCTAATAATAAAATCACCTGTTTTATCAGGATGTGCTAAATATTGAAGAAAAGTTATGAGTTTTTGCCCATCCTGAAATTATACAACTGGCAAGGATAGAATATCAAATTTGTGAATTTTCAGTATTCCAGCGTATTTGTTTTGTTGTATATACTTTCTGTGTTAATGTAATGTACATAGTTGTTAGTAATCTAGGGGGAAAACAATCAAAGGAAATAACCAGCTGGGCCAAGTCTTTCATTTGTCCTGTGGTTGTGTTGTGTTGTGCCTGCGTGTGTGTGTGTGTGTGCACATGTGTGTGTGTGTGTGTTTGAGCCAGACATCCAATCCCAACATTTGATAATGACCTGTCACATAAGCTTTCTCAATATAGAATGTCTATACTGGTGGTTAGGCCTGGGTTTTCAAAGTTAAACGGTTTATTACAATGTAAGAGCGATGTATGGATGTGTTTTCACTGTTTTGCTACTTAGGTTCTTTGCATCTTCAGATGATACCATCTCTGTAGTCCCCAGTTTCCATTGCTCAGCTGTTGGAAAAGGGCTTTCAGTGAATGACTTTTTCATCATACCATATTAGATCCTTGTCAGTATTTGCACAGTGTATGCGCTTTATTATTACATATGCTCTACTTTTATAGGGCCTGTTTTTGTTTTAATTATCAAACTACTCTGTCATTTATAGTAAGTAATCAGTGCTCTGCTAAAAAGCAAATGGCAATTTAATCACAAAATTCTAATATAGCCGATAGACATGCTTATGTGATACTTAAAACGTTAATTTTATCGGCTGTTCATGTGTATGTTGTAGGAGTATTTCACTGAGATCTCTTATTTTTTGGGCATATAGACCAGATTATTGCATCTCATATTTATGAAAATAGCAATATGGAATATGAAGGAAAGATAAATCATTCTTGTACTATGTGTAAAATTCGAAAAACAAAATTGCAAATGACTTCAACACTAATTAGTAAAAAATAAATGTTTAGCCAAACTCAAATTCAGTTATACTATCTATTGTTGAAAGGGAAAGTGTACTAGGCAGAGAGGAAAAGATTTTACAGTATGGATGTGAAAGAAAATTTTTGTACTCTACTATGGTATAAGACTGCCAGTTTCTGTGGAACACAAAGCCCTCCCTTTCTTGGACAGCTCAGTGCTTTGCTGGCATTTTCTTCAAAATCTGTTTTCCATCAGGACCAAGAGGAGGGAAGGTGTTAGGAATAAGGGAGGTTGGAAAGGGGGTTGCTGTTCCTTTAAATAGTGCAGTGAGTCCATGTGGCAGCAGGCCGCTCTGGAGTGTATTCTTTTGTAATGAATCACCAGTTCCATTGTCTGCTATCTCCCCTCTTTGTAGCTGGAAGGCTGAAGTCTTTCACCTGAGCTGCTGCCAGTTCGCTCTTCTGTTCCTGGGTGGTTGGGAGAAGAGAAGAGGGAGGGTATTTTATGCTTTAATTAAAGACAGATAAGAGAGCAGGTATGTTTTGCTTTGTTTCATTTTCTCTTTTCCTGTTTTTGTTTGTCTGGTTTTTGAAAGGAGTTGGAGTAGAGAATCTATTCTGTGATTTTGCTAAGCATATCCCATTTTCTTTGAATTCTGGAGGTCCTCTCAGCATTTAGTCTCCATTTTGTGGCACTGCTTTAAAGTGATTCCATTCGGTTGCCTGCCAGTCATGCTCCCTTGCCACTCGAACCTTATCCCACCCTTCATCCACGGAGCTGCAGCCACACTGTTTGTTTTGGCACACTTTCCACTTTCTATGGGCTTTGCAGGATTTGGGGAGTTGGAGGATAGGCGGGGATTGTGGGTTGGAGACTGAATTTATGTTCCTTTACAATGAAAAAAAAAAGCCTCACTTTTTCCAGAGATTTGGTTTCTTTCTGAATTCTTCTACATTGCTCCATATCTTCAGTTATAATCATTTCTTCGCTGAGGCCAAGATTGTCTCTTGAAAAGTATTGCTTTTCTAAAAATTACTTAGCTTTCTTGAAAAGATAAACAGAATTTCATAAATGAAGCTATGATGAAATCCGAGCAATCTTGACTCATTAAATTGTTTTTTCCGTCTTAGTCACCCCCTAATCACACACACTTTTCTCTTTCTTTTTTGGCCCCCTTCTCTATTTTTTCCTTTATCTTTCTCCTTAGCTTTGCAATTGAGTCTAGGTAAGCTTAATATTTGACAACCTATTACTTAAATTTGTATTGCTACAGGAGACATCTTCATATTGAACAGTAATGACATTCCTCATTCCTCTCAGTGATAAGGCATAAGCTCAAATTCCTGGTTTTGTTCCTCCAGTTTTCTGTTCTCCCCTGAGAAATTCCAAACTCTGATCTACACAGATTGCCATATGTAAACAATTTTATCTCTCTCAAATTTGAACTTTTCATCATGTAATTCCTTACCTAGGGGTTGTTTCTTGGACATCTGTTTATGGTAGACAGATAGTTTCTGGGAACCAGTCATACTAGGTGATACAGCCCCCCCTTACCCACCCTGGTCTCCTTCTGGTATACCATTCCTCTCCGGGATCTGACATTATTGGTATCCCACATGTTCCCTTCCGAAGTCATAATTCCTCACTCTTTTTTTTCAACATTTCCAAACCACTGTCAAATCTTTTTTGAACATTTCCTCCCAACATTTTGTATGTGAAATTTGCCAGGCACAAATACAAGGCTCCCCTGCAGTAAATACTTTGCTCTTTTGATTGTAGCACCTTTCTTAGTGGGCTCCAGTGTTCAACCTCTTCTAGGCAGTGAGAAATGCTGCATTCTGCCATCACAATGTATTGTGTCTATTCCCCAGACTCTTAAATGTTTCTCTATTACTATTAGAATGATTAAATTCAGGAAACTAATTCATTAGAGGTCATTGCCAGAGTGAATCATTTAAAATGCAAGTCTGATTTTGTCATTCCTGTGCTTATACCTTACAGTTGCTCCCCTTCAGTCTCTGAATAAAATCCTGTGACCCTGCATGATCAGGAACCTGGCTGTCTCTCTAGTCTCATCTCCTGCCATCCTTTTCTTTCTGTATTTCATTCTAATGACACTGGCCTCTTTGCTGTTCTCTTAACATGCCTAAGACCCTCCTGCTCAGGACCCTTCTGCTTTTCTCCCTGCCCAAAATGTCTTCCCACTGGTACCCATATGGTTTGTTCTACTCTTGAATATTTCTTCTCAAGGGCGACCTCTCCCTTAACTTTCCTAGCTAAACCAGCACTCCCTCATCACTCCTACCTTCATTCTGCTTTGTCTTCACTTGTCACTGATTTTAGTTCTTACCGTTGATTGTTATATGTTTGTTTGTTGTCTGTCTCCTCCCCGACCCCAAACAGAAGCTCCCTGAGATCAGGATCCTCGTCAGCAGTCTGTTGTATTCCCAGTGTGTAGAACAGTGCCTGGCACATAGTCATAATAAAAATAGCTAATCTTTATATATGCTTATGATGCATTAATATCAGATACCGTTCTAAGCACTTTACCCTCATTAACTCATTGAATCCTCTCAGCAGCTCTGTGTTATCTCCATTGTACAAAAGAGGAAACTAGGCATATGACGGTTAAGTAACTTGCCCAAGTTCAGACAGCTACTAAGAGATGTTGTGGGGAATGATATCCAGACAGACTGGCTTAGAAATTGATATTCTTAACCACTGTACTCTAATGCCCCTTGTAGGTATTGGGTATTCAGTAAATATTTGTTGAATGTGTGAATAAATTAATTTAGTTGAGACTCTGATTCATTTCTGAAATTTCCATCCCTGACTTAAGACTTTGATAAAACACTTGCAGTAATGGAATTCATTGTTGAATAAGATTACTTCATTCTTATAATATGTAATAAAGTATACATTATTCTATGATAAAAATATTAATATTATCTAATAATACTAAATAATAATGCAGAGCACATACTGTGCATTAAGCATTGTCTTAAGTGCTTTACATATTTTAGAGCATTTATTCCACTCAGCAGCCTTATATACTTACTCAGCAGTACTATTAATGTCCATGTTGTAGAAATTAGGAAACCCAAGGAGTTTGGCTCCAGCATTTCTGTTCTTAACCACCACTAATAATGACCATTATAAAAATGTTTTTGTTTTTTTATACCTACTTTGTGCCAGTCAATTTTACATACATAGCACATTTACAAACATAATTATTCATATTATGTATCACTTGTCAATCATCTTTGAGATAGGTGAGGTTTTTCCCATTTTTTGCAGGAGACTTTGAGATTCTAAAGATCAGGCAGCCTGGAAACAGAGAGAGATAGGTTTCAAACTGGAGATCTATTTAGTCCCAAATTCGCATGCTCTTCCATTATTCTGTGAACCTCATAAGATAAATAGTTCCATTGTTGGCCATGATAAGTAGAAAAGTTTTCTTTATGAGCTGAAATCTGTTTTCATGATTGTCTTCTCACTCCTTCTCATTTTCTCATCTGGAGTTGCATTGAGTGGTTTCATGTCTTCTACATAAAAACCAAATATTTGAAGATACTGCTGAACGTTCCCTTTAATCTTCTGTTGCCTTGCTTATTTTTCCTACTTCCTTGAATTACTCCTCATAGATATGAAAACATACGGTTTCCAGAATGTTTACTGACTGTCCTGGACTAGTTGCATTAATTTATATGAATGATTTGTCATTTATGTCTAATCACTAAGTAAAAATATCAATTATGATTACTTTTTAAGTTTTATTGATGCATAATTATACATATTTATGGGGTACATATGATATTTTGATACATGCGTATAATGTGTAATGATCAAATCAGTAATTAGGATACCCATGACCTCAAATATTTATCATTTCTTTGTATAGAGAACATTTCAAATCTCCCCTTCTAGCTATTTTGAAATACACAATAAATTATTGTTAACTATAGTCACTGTGCTGTTGAATATTAGAACTTCTTCTTCTTCTTTGTTTTGGAGACTGAATCTCACTATGTTGCCCAGGCTGGAGTACAGTGGTGCAGTCTTGGCTCAGATCTTGGCTCACTGCAATCTGCGCCTCCTGGGTTCAAGTGATTCTCCTGCCTCAGCCTCCCAAGTAGGTAGGACTACGGGTGCATGCCACCACACCTGGCTAATTTTGTAATTTTAGTAGAGACAGGGTTTCACCATGTTGGCCAGGCTGCTCTCGAAATTCTGACCTCAAGTGATCTGCCTGCCTCTGCATCCCAGAGTGCTTGGATTACAGGTGCGAGCCACTGCACCTGGCCAAGAACTTATTTCTTCTGTGTTTTTGTACCCAGTAACCAACCTCTCTCCATCCCCTGCCTCCTTCCCAGCATTTGCTAAACATTCTACAGTTATGAGTATTAAGTATCATATCTTTGTTATAAGTTTTGTTTTATGATAACATGTTTGGCTTTAGTCAGTTTCTTTTTTGTTGTTTTTGAGACAGGGTCTCACTCTTTCGCCCAGGTTGGAATGTAGTGGTGTGATCTCGGCTCACTGCAACCTCCGCCTCCTGGGTTCAAGTGATTATCCTGCCTCAGCCTCCCAAGTAGCTGGGACTACAGGTGTGCGTCACCATGCCCAGTTAATTTTTGTACTTTTTGGTAGAGACAGGGTTTCACCATGTTGGCCAGACTGGTCTTGAACTCCTGACCTCAGGTGATACACCTGCCTCGACCTCCCAAAGTGCTGGGATTACTGGCGTGAGCCATCGCATACAACTGGCTTTAGTCAGTTTGTATAGCTCATTGAACATGTAGTGTTGTTGGCAATTTATAATTTCAAAAATGAAGGGATATTACCTTGAACTCCTAAAAAGAATAAATAGAATATTGTTTTTCTCTCCACTATAAAGCATGCCCTCAGCTGATTGGCAGGAATCTACCTGTCTTTTAGTATCTGAGTCTTGCCCTGATCCCTCAAAGGTTACTGTCACTGAGTAATGGAAGTCAATAATTATTTTATGAAATTATAAATGAATGCTTTTATGTCCACAAATGATACAACTGTATTCTTTTTTCCTAATGTTAATTATGATTCCTCATAAGAAGTTTGGAAGAGACAAACTGGGACTTAAGTGAAGGAGATTGGGTTTTGAAAAGACTCTTAACTGAGAGCAAAGATCCACGAACTTTTTCTGTAAAGGGCCAGATAGTAAACAATTTTGGCTTTGCAAGCCATGTTGTTTCTGTCACAACTACCCGGCTGTGCTGATGAAGCATTGAAGAAGCTATAGATGATAAGTAAATGAATCGTTGGTTGTAGCTGTGTTCCAGTAAAACTATTTACGGACACTGAAATTTAAGTTCCATGTAATATGTATGTGTCACAAAATATGATTCTTTTAACTTTATTTTTAATTTATTATTATTTTTTTTTTGAGACAGAGTCTCTCACTATCACCCAGGCTGGAGTGCAGTGGTGCGATCTCGGATCACTGCCAGCTCTGCCTCCTGGGTTCACGCCATTCTCCTGCCTCAGCCTCCCAAGGGCAGGTGCCTGCCACCATGCCTGGCTAATTTTTTGTAATTTTAGTAGAGACAGGATTTCACCATGTTAGCCAGGATGGTCTCGATCTCCTGACCTTGTGATCTGCCCACCTCGGCCTCCCAAAGTGCTGGGATTACAGGCGTAAGCCACCGTGCCTGGCCTCTTAACTATTTAAAAACGTAAAACCATGCTTAGCTTGCAGGTTATGCAAAAGTAGGTGGAGGGCTGGCTTTGAACCACAAGCTATAGTTTGCTGATCCCTGACTCAGAGGGATACAGGACCTCGCAATTTCCTTTATAGCATACGTAAGGTTTTCCCATATAGCTTCATGACAGAGAGACAGTTTTGAGTGGTTCTAGCAGGTCATGATGGATCCCTTTTATAATAGAATGAATCCCCTGATTTGCTCTCTTATTTCCCCAGCCCCAGAAAATATGAAGATTCTTCTCCTTCTTTACTTCCTTTCTCCCTCCATATGCTGTATTTTATACCTTATTGCTTTTCATATACATTTTCATATTTTTTTAAAAACATTTTTCATGTAGTTATATACTGTATAACAACATTTGGGTCAACGACAGACTGCATACACAATAGTGGTTCCATAAGATTATAATACTGTATTTTTACTGTCCCTTTTCTATATTTAGACACACAAATACTTAGGTTTGTGTTATGCTTGCCTACAGTATTCAGTATAGTCACATGCTGTACAAGTTTGTAGCCTAGGAGCAATAGGCGATGCCATATAGTCTAGGTGTGTAGTAGGCAATACCATCTAAATTTGTGTAAGTACACTGTGTGATGTTCACACAAAGACACTTGCTTAAGGACACGTTTCTCAGAACATATCCCTGTCATCAAGTGATACATGACTATTATTTATTACTTTGGGCCAGATGCATTTTTCTCCCACATGATTAATTTGTCTTTAAAGGTTCAGCTTAGACTTCACCTACTTCAGAAATCTTCCTGTCTCACACAGTTGTCCCTCTGTGCTTCATTAACATTCTGTATGCATTGTTCGTTTAGCTTATATGGTACTATAATTGTGAGTATATTTCTGTGTTTTTCCATCAGACTATAGTTTCTTTCAGGATTGGGACTATATCACCAGTGTCAGCATCCAGCAAATATTTCTTTTGAGTTAATTAATGATTTTTAACTTGCTAATTCATTGATAGTGTCCTCTTTTGAAATGTTGAATGGGAGAGTTAAATTGGGTAGTCACTTGTAACCTAATGCTTATTACTTAAATCAGTTAATACTTAGCACACATGTAGTTTGGGAAATAGATGCTTTACATGGCTAGAAGATTGGGAGGATTTTGGAATAAACAACTATTTGAGGGACACAGGAAACTCTTGTATTGTAGATGTTTTAGTGAAAGTGGAAGCCTGGGTGTATGACGGTAAATGGCATAGGAGCTCTAGCCTCCTGGGGAGTCAGGCAGGAAGGACGAAGGGCATGACTCCCGCAACTGGGGAAAGGGCACGACAGAGAAAGAGAAGTGGAAGGTGACAATGAAATCTTAGGGATTGGCAACCCATGGCAAGTATACCAAATGTGGTATATTGAGCATAGTCATCTTCCTCTCTGCTTTGCCTTCCACTCAAGATGGCCAAGAGTTAGATTCTTTACATACTACTTTTGAAAACTTGTCATCGCAGATATATAGCAGATCCTAACCAGCCATTCTATGTCATTTTCAAGGCTCACTATTCTTTTAGGTCTTTTTCCCTCCCTCTCTCTGTTTCTTTTTGGATCTTTTCTATATGGTAACATCAAATGTACTTACCTTTTTTTCCCTGCAACATCTAGTCTGCCATTAATCCAATCCAGTGGGTGTATATGTGTTTTTTAAATCTCAGATTATAGCTTTCGTCTCTAGAATTTTTATGTAGGTCTTTTTCACACCTCTCATGTCTCTTAGCATGTTCATTTTTTTCCTTTTTTATCTTGAACATATGAGACACAAATGTTTTAATGTCCTCATCTGCTAATTCTAACATATGTATTAGTTCTGGGTGAGTTGTGATTAATTTATTTTTCTCAGCATTATGTGTTGTAGTTTTCCTGCTTCTTTGCATGCCTGGTAATTTTTGACTGGATGCCATACATTGTGAATTTTATCTTGTTGGGTTCTAGATAATTTTTTATGTCTATAAATATTCTTGAGCTTTATCTACAGCACAACTGCGTTTCTTAGAAAAAGTTTGATCCTTTCGGGTCTTGGGTTGTTTGTTTGTTTTGTTTTGTTGTTTGTTTTTTGAGATGGAGTCTCGCTCTGTCGCCCAGGCTGGAGTGCAGTGGCGCGATCTCGGCTCACTGCAACCTCTGCCTCCCGGGTTCAAGCGATTCTCCTGCCTCAGCCTCCCGAGTAGCTGGGATTACAGGTGCGTACCACCACGCCTGGCTAATTTTTTGTCTTTTTAGTAGAGATGGGGTTTCGCTGTGTTAGCCAGGATGGTCTCTATCTCCTGACCTCAAGATCCGCCCGCCTCGGCCTCCCAAAGTGCTGGGATTACAGGCATGAGCCACCACGCCCGACCTCAGGTCTTGTTTTTTAAGCTTTGTTAGACAGGACTAGAGCTGTGTTTAGTCTCTGGTTAATTTTTCCTGGCCACTGAGGCAAGACTCTTTTTAAAACTCTAATGGATGCTCCTTACATCATTAGGTTTTCCACTCTGGCTGTTAAGAACAGGATTATTCTTGGCACTGTGTGAGCTCCTAGTACTGTTCCCTGTATTTCTTTCAGGTGGTTCTTTCCCCAGCCTCTGGAAGTTTCACACATAGATGTGGCAGTCATCACTCAACTGAGTACTTGAGATCTTTAGAGCTCTCTTTCTCTCTGCAACTTTCTCCAGTACCGTCCCCTGTGCTGTCTTGGCTTCTCCAGACTTCTAGGTCTATCTTCTCAATTCATGGAACCCACCAGGTTCTGCCTGGGTCCTTCCTTCTCTGCTGCAGCCTGGAAACTTTATCCATGTGATAAGTTGGGGCAGTTGTAAAGCTCAACTTGCTTGTTTCCTGACTCTGGAATCTCTGTCCTTCCTTGCCTACTAGACAATGTCTTGAGTGCTGTTGTTTCATGTATTTTGTGGTTTTTTTAGTAGTTTCAGGTAAAAAGAAAAATCTGTTTCTTTTTTTTTTTTTTTTTTGAGACAGATTCTTAGTCTGTTGGCCAGGCTGGAGTGCAGTGGCAGAATCTTGGCTCACTGCAACCTCCGTTTCCCAGGCTCAAGCAATTCTCCTGCCTCAGCCTCCCAAGTAGCTGGGATTACAGGCATGTGCCATTATGCCCTGCTAATTTTTGTATTTTTAGTAGAGATGGGGTTTCACCTTGTTGGCCAGGTCGAACTCCTGACCTCAGGTGATCTGCCCACCTCGGCCTCCCAAAGTGCTGGGATTACAGGCGTGAGCCACTGCGCCTGGCCTTAAATCTGGTTCTTGTTACTCCATCTTTATTGGAAGCAGAAGAGTGAACACATACTTTTAAATGAAAATTAAGCAGTGTTGCATTGAATATATTTTTAATTTATGAGTGAAAATCAGTTGAACAGTTCATTTCAAGGAGTATTAAGGAAGAATGCGTAAGATGTGTAAGTAATTATAATACAAAGTGGGATACAGTAAATTACATGAAAATGATGTCAGTAAAGTGTTGTTAAAAGCTTATATGAGGAAAGAGTTTGAGAAGTTTGGCAGAAGTGGAAGGTGTGAGGAGAATGGCTATGGCATTGCTTTGTGTGTGTATGTATATGCGTTATACAAGACATTATCTGAAACTAGAATCAAATTCTTTAGTATTGAGTGAGGTTTAGTGGTAGGATAGTTTCAGAGAGTCTAGGAC
Source organism: Homo sapiens (assembly GCF_000001405.40). Taxonomy (NCBI): domain Eukaryota; kingdom Metazoa; phylum Chordata; class Mammalia; order Primates; family Hominidae; genus Homo; species Homo sapiens. Next base: position 148,466 of record NT_187630.1, on the reverse strand, counting down.
TGATAAAATTAATGGGGGGAAAAAAGTCATTAGCAGAAATACCTAAGCAAGAACACAGGAAAAACAGAGTTTCCATGTTTTTATAGTTTGGTGTGATTTGTGGTCTTGCGGAAAAGGAGAAGCATCCTTTTTTCCTATGTATTACCTGCCCTTGCAAATCTTGCAGAAGAGGGAGAAAATTCAAAGTACTATTTTTTCACTGTGTTAAACAGTGTAAAAGATAGGGGCACTCCGGACTGTGAAAATGATGACCACTGCTGCAAACTTGGTGGAACCTTAGAAAACCTCAATAAGCAATATTTAGACTCTTTGAGTCATTGCTATTTAAATGATAATCAGATTATCTACAGATTTCAATGGCAACACATTGTAGAACTAAATAAGTAGATGGCATTGTTTATAGCTTTCTTAATTTCAGTTAAAATGGTCACCTGACTGTTGTTCGCTAACATAGAGCAACTGTGACCAAAAGCTTATCTAAGTAAAGTAATCCCCCCATCCACAGTGTCCCTTTTCATGGTTTCAATTACCCATGATCAACCATAGTCTGAAAATACTAAGGTATGGTATTTTGAGAGAGAGCGAGAAGGAGGCCACATTCACGTAACTTTTATTACACTATATTGTTATAATTGTTCTGTTACTATTAGTATTGTTGTTAATCTCTTACTGTGCCTGATTTGTTAAGTTAAACTTTCTCACAGTTATATATGTATAGGAAAAAAAACAGTATATGAGGGTTCAGTGCTATCTGCAGTGTTAGGAATCTACTGAGAGTCTTGGAGCATATGCCCTGTGGATAAAAGAGGCTACTATATATGCTTTAAAGTTTTCCCTCCTGAGGAACCAGGGGGCATTTTTGAAAAACAGGAGATGCAGGGGGGGAGGTTTGTTTACTTTTACTTAGCCTATCTCTTATATGCAATCTTTAGGAAGAAGAATGTGATTTTTCCCCTCATATTTGTATTGATGTGACTGTTCATATGAAAAAGAACATGGAGAACTTTAAGATTATAACTCAGCTGTTAGCATTTATATTTTGGACTATGTATGCTTTCTATTTTTTCTTATTCTTTCACAATAATAGTGGTAATTATTATCTCTATTTTTTTTTTTTTTTTTTTTTGAGATGGAGTTTCGCTCTTGTTGCCCAGGCTGGACTGCGATGGCGCGATCTCGGCTCACTGCAACCTCCGCCTCCCAGGTTCAAGCAGTTCTCCTGCTTCAGCCTCCCGAGTAGCTGAGATTACAGACATGCGCCACCAAGCCCAGCTAATTTTTTCTATTTTTACTAGAGATGAGGTTTCTCCATGTTGGTCAGGCTGGTCTCGAACTCCTGACCTCAGTGATCCATCTGCCTCAGCTTCCCAAAGTGCTGGGATTATAGGCGTGAGCCGCTGCACCCGGCTTTTTTTTTTTTTTGCCAAAAGCAAAGAATTTTTTATATATGATCTTAGTTAATTCCTTTTTTTTTTTTTTTTTTTTTTGAAGCGGAGTCTCACTGTCTTGCCCAGGCTGGAGTGCAATGGTGAGATCGTGGCTCACTGCAACCTCCACCTCCCGGGTTCAAGTGATTCTCCTGCCTCAACCTCCTTTGGTAGCTGGGATTACGGGCACCTGCCACCACGCTCAGCTAATTTTTGTATTATTAGTAGAGGCGAGGTTTCACCATGTTGGTTAGGCTGGTCTCGAACTACTGACCTCAGGTGATCCACCCGCCTTGGCCTCCCAGAGTGCTGGGATTACAGGCGTGAGCCACTGCACCCGGCCTATCTTAGTTAATTCTTGTAGGTACCCTTTTAGGTAATGATCCTTATTTTCATTTTGCAGATGAAAAACCGAAGGCCTTGAGAGCTTAAGTTACTCATCTAAGGTCACACAAATAGTACATTCATTGCAGAGCCTAAATTTTAACCCATGTTTATCTTTCTAAAGTTTATGCTATTTCTGGCCCTGCCCCCATTTTGATGACAGGTATTACATTAAGTATAATATAAAGAATACAGACCTTACTATTAAACTTTTTCTTTTTTTTTTTTTTTCACTTAGTCAAAATTTATTTGAAGGCCTGAAGACATTTAGTTAACTTTTTCTTTACATAAACTCTGCCTTCCCCCACCAAGTCTCTGTAACCCACCTTTGGCCAAACCCTTGAGAAATGTCTACTAATTGTCTTGGAGCCTTTGGTTCCTCTGGGGTAAGCACAGAATTGATTAATTTGACTATCTGATGCATTTTGGCTTCCCAAAATTTTATCTTATTAACTGCACTCCCAGGCTGGAGTACAGTGGCGCCATCATGGCTCACTGCAACCTCCGCCTCCTGGGTTCAAGCAATTCTACTGTCTCAGCCTCCCAAGTAAGTGGGACTACAGGCACATGCCACCATGCCCAGCTAATTTTTGTATTTTTAGTAGAGACGGGGTTTTGCCATATTGGCCAGGCTGGTCTGGAACTCCTGACCTCATGTGATCCACCCGCCTCGGCCTCCCAAAGTGCTGGGATTACAGGTGGGAGCCACCGTGCCAGGCCTAGAAAATTATTCTTGAATGAAGCTGGATAGTGTAGTTGATTTAATTGATAATGATAATAATGAAGTTTCAAGTGAGGAAGACTATAAGTAAAGAGAAGAAATAGATATGTCTTTTTATGCTTTTTTAAAGTATGCCCTGTTGGTTTAGCATTGACTTGACTTTCACAGGAAATGTGGAGTGAAAACTACAAACATTTTCATTACTAAACAACTATTAAAATATGGATGGCTTGTTTTTGGTTCTTTTGTTAGCTGGTTTCAGGTATCCCTAGTTCTGTCTTCCGCAGGCCACCTTTCTTAAGTTGAGATAGGTTTTCCTGTTCAGTAATAACAGTCTGTTTATAATAGCATTTCTGATGACTACTTCTAACATAGGACTCCCATTTCTTCTCCAGGCTGGCCTCATTGTGATAAAGGATTCAATGTTGTAATCACTGGTTTACATTTCATTGCCATTCCTGATTGAAGGATCAGAGTCCATGGCCTGCCTTATTGATCCATTTGCTAGAGATCAGTGGGGTAACGGGAATTATTTTCCTCTTTAGACTGCATTCTGATCTTGGCTACTATTGCATTCATGAAGAAGGAGGGAGATGAAAAATTAGGCATTCTAACTGGTAAATACTTGATGTTTTCTTTTGTTTCTGAGAGTAGTTAGACCCTTGCAAATCTTTTCTGTTTGTAAGGATTTAAAATAATGTTTAGCATATAGTGCTGGGTGTGTTTGTAGATGGCATTAGGACTGTGACTTACAGCACATATTTAGGGTTTTTTTTTTTGAGATGGAGTCTCGTCCGTCTCATCCTGTCTCCCAGTCTGGAGTGCAATAGCGCGATCTCGGCTCACTGTGACCTCCGTCTCCTGAGTTGAAGCGAATCTCCTGCCTCAGCCTCCCGAGTAGCTGGGATTACAGGTGTGCGCCACCACACCTGGCTAATTTTTTGTATCTTTAGTAGAGATGGGGTTTCACCATGTTGGCCAGGCTGGTCTTGATCTCCTGACCTCATGATCCACCCGCCTCGGCCTTCCACAGTGCTGGGATTACAGGCGTGAGCCACTGCATCCGGCCACATATTTAGTTTTGATCCTTCTCTGAGTTGCTTTGCTTCCTGTAATTTAAATGTGTCTAATTTATTAAAGCATAAGTATACAGGCAGTTTTAAAAATTGTAGTAAACACTTCTTATTTTCCTTTTAATCTTCTCTAATTTTCTTTTAATAAATCTTCGAGTTCTTAAAAGTTTTTTAAAGAAACATAAATGTTTAATAGTTATTTAACGTTTCTCAAATATATACAGGAAACTGGAATTAACAGAACTCATTTATGGTTGAAATCTTGTTTTGCAGAAAATAAATCATTACTTCTGGGTCAAGATGGTAGATAGATGCTTTCATTTGCCTCACATCTCTTACAAGACTCCCCTGAAATAACAGTATAGAAGTACAAAAAATAAATCAGCAATAGCAAATAGAAAAAGGTGAAATGTAGCACTAATATACAAGAGAGTTATTAAATTTCTGGAAAAGCTAAAACAAATGAGAACCAATAGTTGGATGAAATGAAGAATAAGCAGATGCCTGTTGGTGAATACAAGGAGGCTGCTTGCTAGTGTTATGGAAGCCAGTCTGTCCAGGGGGAACCCATGGGAGCTCTCTGAGCAAAAATGAAAGAGACAGAAAACAGAGGAATTCAGTGTTTATTTAGGGGATAACTCAGTTACCTGGCATTGCCAAACCCTTTCCAACCCCTTCCCAGTGGCAGTAGTCAGCAAGTACTATGCCATCCCCTTTCTCTAGCATTAACAAAGGAAAAACAAGGCCGGATGCGGTGGCTCATGCCTGTAATCTCAGCACTTTGGGAGGCCGAGGCGGGCGGATCACCTGAGGTCAGGTGGAGACCAGCCTGGCCAACATGGTGAAACCCTGTCTCTACTAAAAATGCAAAAATTAGCCAGGCGTGGTGGCAGGTGCCTATAATCCCAGCTACTTGGGAGGCTGAGGCAGGAGAATCACTTGAACCCGGAGGTGGAAGTTGCAGTGAGCTAGGATTGTGCCACTGCACTCCAGCCTGGGCGACAGAGTGAGACTCACTCTCAAAAAAAAAAAAAAAGACAACCCAAAGGAAAAACAAAACATAAAACAGTGTTTGTCTCCAAAGAAGTTGATCAGAATGTTTGGGGAAATTTAATTTTGTGTGTGTGTTAGATATTGGCACCTCTTCCTTTAGTCTCATATTTAGGGGGATGGAGAGGGAGGGCATTCTGCACTTTGCTAGTGGCTTACACTAACACAAAGCCTGCCAGTGACATGCTCTTCTCTGTCTTATACTGAGTTCCCATTAGAATTTTAATTCCAAAGAGAGATGTAATCAGAAAGCAAATTCACAGAGGAAACTCATACTAGCTAACAAGTCCTTTTACCTGGGTTACCAGTACGTGAGGATCATTAGAAGTCTTAGAGGAACTTTTAGCATGAAAGAGACCAGAAAAAACAAAAAGAAAACCTGAACCTAGGGGCAAAAGATAATGCAGGAAACAGAAGAGAACTTTAAAGGAATCTTCTAACTAAAATACTCATAAATACTCATTTATAAAACCAATACTAGGTATAATGAAGAGCAAACAATTAGAGAATGCAAAAGGAGATTTAGAACATTATTGTCAATGGAAAGCACACAGTAGAAGGATAGCCAAATAGAGTTGGAGATGCTCCCAAAAAGTAGAGGTTTAATTCACCAAAATGGAAAATACAAGACACAAGTCATAGACTCTGTTCTTAGCTAGTGTTCTCTAGAAAACAACCTGAAACAAAAACCTTACCCACTAACACTTTATTGGGGAGTACCATCTCAGGAAAGCAGGAGGGAAAGAAGAGTGAGACAAGGCAGAAAGGCTGGCCCTCTCTTTGTAATAGGCCTTGCTGATTGCTTGGTTTTACTGGAAGTCTTCAGGAAGGTTGTGTAGAGCTATTGCTTCTCTGTCCTTTCCATCCAAAGAAGGTGTGAAGAGGTGTTTATGGTTTCCTCCCATTTCCTGCTCCTCCCCCTTTTGGTCAAAGTTTGCCATACAAACAGTTAACTCACTTGACCCCTTCCTTCAGCGGCCTCAGGAGAGGAGGCCAGGTCCTACAGTCCTATGGGTAGATCAGGTGTGTACTGAGTATGTGTTGCCAAAGCTTGGGGGTGGTCAGAGCAGTCAGTAATCCCTAATGGCAGCCTCTGGCCTGGGAACCTCTGCCTTTTAGGGAACTATTAAAAGAAGGTCAGTCCTCAAAGGACTGACAGAGTGAAGGATAGGATACTACTGCTTTTTTTTTTTTTTTTTTTTTTTTTTTTTGGAGACGGAGTCTCACTCTGTCCCCCAGGCTGGAGTGCAGTGGCGCAATCTCGGCTCACTGCAACGTCCACCTCCACCTCCCAGGTTCAAGCAGTTCTCCTGCCTCAGCCTCCCAAGTAGCTGGGATTGCAGGTGTCCTCCACTACACCCCACTAATATTTTTAGTAGAGACGGGGTTTCGCCATGTTGGCCAGGCTGGTCTCGAACTCCTGACCTCAGGTGATCCGCCCACCTTGGCCTCCCAAAGTGCTGGGATTACAGGTGTGAGCCAACACGCCTGGCCAGGCTACTGCTGCTTTTAATCATAAGCTCTTCTTACCTATTTGATTTGCTATCATGTGCATGTGTTAATTTGATAAAGATAAAAAATAAAATTTAAAAAGAAAAAATGAATTACCAAAAACACTCTGGAAATAACTATCAAAGATATTTTAGAATGCATTTAGAAAACAGAATGAACTTCAAATATGAAAAAATAGAATCTAATTAGTTTATATCAGGAACATCTTGGACTGCTAGAATTGATCCTTTCTCCTTTCCCACTCTTTCTTGCTCACTCCTTGTTAGCCTACAGTACCCTGGGGTTGAAATCTAGTAGTCTTCTTCTCCTTCATACCCGTTGCCAGGTTCTGCCAAGTCTGCCTTTGGATTGTCATTGCTCAGGCCCCCCAGTCTATATCTCGCTGTGGCTATTGTATGTAGTTCATAGCTTTAGTGTAAGTCCCTTCAAAGTTTGTGGTATCCTTCTAATGAATCTCCTTGTCTTCCCTACCTCATATCACCTTTGTTTCCTGATGCTGAGTGTTGGTCACTTCCTGTACCACCATATCATTTTTGTTATAACAGAACTTTGTGTTTGCTTATATACTCTACTGGGTTGAAACATCTTTTATTTCTTTAATAAATACTTATTGAGAGATTTTAAGGCAGCCACTGGGATACAAAGATGAATTAGATCTGGACAATTACCTGCCTTCAAAGAGTTCATGTTCTGTAAAGACAATACATATGTAAGCAAATAATTGTAATTGAATATAAGTACCATAATAGAGTTAAGTATTAGGTTGGGGAGGGTAGGAGGAAGGAATGATTTTCCCCCTTTTTGAGTGAATTAGAAACCTCTAGAGAGGAGTAGATGCCCAAATACCTATTAAAGATTGTGTATGTATTAGCCCAATGAGTAGAAAGGAGAAAAGCTTTCTAAGCAGAAAGAATACTATGTGCAAAGAAACTGGAAGGTGAAACAGTACGTGGTGTTTTCAGCATTCGACACACATTAGATTACCACCTGCACCAAACCCTCTTCATCTCAGCTGAATTATCAGGGTCGCCTCCCAACAGGGCTCCCTGCCTTTGCCTTTGCCGAGTGGTACATTTAAAACCTAATTCTGACCACATCACTTCTCTGCTCAGAACTCTCAGTGGAGTGTAAAAGCTAACCTCCCTGCAGTGGCTGTAAGCTTTACAGGATTTCTATCAACGTCCCTCTTTCCCCACTGCTACCTTTCTCGCTTCATCTCCTGCCACTCTGTTCCATGCTTACTCCAGTCTGATCACATAGGTCTCCAAGGCCTCCATGTTCCTAGTTCTTAGAATGAGCTGCTTGTATTTTTGCCTGTGGGACTTTGCATTTGTGTTCCCTTTGTCTGGAGTCTTCTTCCATCCAGATACACGTATAGCTTGTTGCCTTAGTTTCTAAAAAATTATGATCAGTGTTACCTTGCTAGACCAGCCTTAGAAAATAGAAATTCTCTGTCTCTCCAGCCCAATACCCCGATACCCTCCTCTTATTTTTTCTCTGTAGCATACCATCTGTTTATTGTTTTACTTGCCAATTTATTATTTGTCTCTTCCTACTAGAATGTAAACTCCATAAGGGCAGGGACTTTGTCTTTTTAATCATCGTTGTTTCATCAGCAGCTAGAACAGAATATCTGATGAATGATAGATACTCAATAAATATTTGATGGCAAGAGTTGAAGCTGAATAGATGAAGTGTGCAAGGGGCATGACTTCCATGCAAAGGTATTTGGACTTGAGACTGTAAACATTGGCAGTCTAGGATTTTAAGAAGAAGATAAATTAACTATCAGATTTAGGTTTTATTTTAGAAAGATCATTCTGGCAGGTGCTTGGAGAGTTCATTAGGTTGAGGTTAAGTTAAAATAAAGCAGAACTCTTTAAAAACCAAAAAAAATGTTATTTAGATAGCCTAGGTGAGAGCAATGGCTCATTTTTCTTTTAATTTCCCATAGTACATAATGTGGACTCCCACATATAGCCTTATATGTATCTTAATAGAATGATTATTTATATTGTGGTAAGGTCCCTGGCAGAGTTGGTAAAGCTATTGAGAGAATGGTTCCTATCTTTTTTTTATAGACTTATACTGCAGAAGCAGGTATTCAATTACCTGGTTAATTCAATTACCAGGCATTTTCTAAAGGGCACTTCCTATATGCTCATCATCACTTCATTTGGTGAGGAAGCTATGATGAAGACGTTTATGATTCAGTCCCTGGTTGACTTAGGGACTTTACTTGTTAAATGATTAAAGAATATATAAGCCACCATGTAACCATGGTTGTAGACAAAATGTGTTTTGTTCTGGGAAAGGGATAGGGAAAATTTTTCTCTGTTACTATATGTATATCATGTGAATTTTCTATTTTAAAGAGGTAGACTACAACAGAATACCCAACAAAATTTATAAAGCATAATTAAATATTTTGTAATTCAGAAGACACTCTACTACTTTGCCAGTGTTTTATTTGGAACCTGAGTGACATCTATTTCTTTGTTTTGTTTTTTCCTTAGAGACATGGTCTCTCTCTGTTGCTCAGGATGGAGTACAGTGGTGTGATCTAGGCTCACTGCATCCTCAAACTCCTGGGCTCAAGTGGTCCTCTCACCTCAGCCCCCTGAGTAGGTAGTACTACAGGTGCATGCCACCACACCTGGCTATTTAAAAAAATTTTTTTTGTAGAGATAGGGTCTCGCTATGTTGCCCAGGCTGGTCTTGAACTCCTGGCCTCAAGCAGTCCTCCCACCCCGGCCTTCCAAAGTGCTGGGATTACAGGTGTGAGCAATGCCACCTGGCCTATTTTTAAGGCTATTCCAGTTTAGCATATGGAAGATGCAAACTTAATTGTCCATGATGACAAAATAATAAATTAATTTAGATTGTAGTGAAAAGTTTGGTTGAGAAAAAGAATAATTTTCCATGGATTGTGTAAATCCATTGGAATAGAATATTTACATTGAATAGAACAGACAGTTAACTATTAATTGTAAGGGCCTTCCATTTCCAAAGAAGCAGGTAGCTGAACCAGAGTAGTTCTTGCTGTCTGTTGTTGCCAGTGGAAGACATGATTCATGAATGTTTGAGGTTCTAAATACTTGTTTAAGGAGAAATAGAGGAAAGAGCTTTTAAGAGGTTGGAAATATTAAGACTATTACAGGGTTTGTTGCTTTTCACCTAATAGACTATAGGTTTGAATGACTTTGTTCTGAAATATTTATTTTCCTGTTTAAATATTCATTGCTGTGAGATTTCAAAACTCAGCCTCAAGGGAAAGACCGGACTGGCTTTTCCCTCTGAGTAATTCAGAAGAGGGGTGTGTGTGTGTGTGTGTGTGTGTGTGTGTGTGTGTTGACAAGTGATTTGGAGGCAAGTTTACAATATTCTTGTTGGCCAAGCCTGTAACTGCCCTTAAATTTACATATACCAGCTTGTGTCATTTATTGGTATTCTAAGCAAGGATTTATATTGTATTGCCTGGTTTTTTAAAAATTTATTTTATTAATTGTCTGTTTATAAGAGCTCAAGATTGTACTGGTCGTGTTCCTGAATTCCAACGCCCCCTTACATGACTGCAGCACACTCATCTTTTGGTCCTGATTCTTTAGTTATACCCACGCTAAAAGAAGGATCCATTGTGAGGCCTACATTTCAGTAGATTTGCACTTTAGAAAACAACTAGTGTTTATTCTCTTAGCTGCAGGTTCCATATAAGAAGGTAACCCTCTACTTTTAGGAAACTTACATTTATAGCCACTGTTGCCTTCCTCTCATCATCTATGCTCTCTTTTTATTTATTTATTTATTTATTTATTTATTTATTTTGAGACAAAGTCTTACTCTGTTGTCCAGGCTGGAGTGCAGTGGCGCGATCTTGGCTCACTGCAACCTCTGCCTCCGATGTTCAAGTGATTCTCGTGCTTCAGCCTCCCAGGTAGCTGGGATTACAGACGTGCACCATCACACCTGGCTGTTTTTGTATTTTTAGTAGAGATGGAGTTTCACCACGTTGGCCAGGCTGGTCTTGAACTCCTGACCTCATGTGATCTGCATGCCTCAGCCTCCCAAGGTGCTGGAATTACCTTGGGAGCCATGGGGCCTAGCCTCTATGCCCTCTTTAATCTCTTAACTGACTCTGTTCTTCTAAAGGTGTAGATGCTTCAGGACATGTCCTGGAGGCATGCTGTAACCATAATTCTCTCCCATTTTGCCAGCCAAAGCCTCTAAGTCAGTGTTTCTCAGAATGTGGGACCCAAACCATCTACACCAGTAAGTACCAGGGTCCTGTTCCAACCCACTGAATCCTAATCTATGGGGAAAGGATCTTGACATGTGCATTTTTAAATATGTTCCCTGAATGGGTGTTATACGCAATAAAATATGGTCATCTTTGCTTTCAAAGAACAAGGTAAAAGATGAGTTGGTAGGTGTGAGGAGCTGGGTTGTATGGAAGTAGTTTCTTACTGCATCTTACTGTTGAGACTGAAGCAGGAATGGGTGTGTCTGAACTCCTTACCCGAAATTAGACATTTTTTTCTTAAACTAATACTTCAATGGCGATTGGTTTTTATTACAGTAATCCTTATTATATAATCATTGAATCTGTTTCCATGAGCTTCCTTGGGATCTTGGCCATTCAGTAAGTTCCAGACAACCAAGTGAAAAGCGAACTCTTAGAATTCAACCTGAAGGTAAATATTTGGAGACTACATGGAGATTTCATTGTATAGATTTTTCCTCTCAACATCACATTTACCTACAAGTTGCCTAACATCTTATGGCTCTGAGTGTAGTTCAGATGTATTGTAAAAGAGAAAATGTATTACTTTTACCTAACTTACCAGAAATGTATTCAGGATTATTAGACACTTAACACTTTTGTCTGCTCTGGGTGCTCAAAATTGTGAAACTTTCTTGAGGTGAGAAAAGCAAAACAATTCTACCCTACAGCTCTCCTCTAGGTTATGGTAGTTTAAAAAAAAAGTTAAGAACAGTTCAATAGCTTGGTTGTCTTTAGACTTAAAAACAAAACAAAACAAAACAAAAAACGAGAATATTTTAGATACTGAAGGAAGGAGATTTGGGATTTAAGTATTTGTGTAAGTTAAGAATCTAGAGTAATTTTGCTTTAAGTCTTGCAAATGAGCATTGTTTTGTCTTTGTATGTGTTTATCTGATTTATTTATCTGGATTTTCCTGGTCTGTTCTTCTACAGAGTTAATTTTTTTAAAAAAACGGATCCTAGATGATTTTAAATCCAGTGTTGTCTTCTTATCTTTCTGAGAGAACAGTTATATAGCTGTTATTTTCCTCTTGTCACAGACAGCTGGGCAGAAGCCACTGCTTTTAGTACCAGATCTGAGAATGACAGGCCTTTGCCTAGGTACTCTTTTTTTTTAAACAAAGGCAAATAGAGTTTGAAATCTGAGCCCATCTAAGCAAATCCCAAGGGATCAAAATGATATAATTTGTAAAAATACTTAAAAGTAAAAACATTTTATTTGTATTATAATCCTAGAAAATTAATTTCCATTTATAAATAGCACTAGAAAAACTATTAGTGACATTGTCAGTGGTAATAAACTGGTGAGAATATGCTCTACCAAAATAATGAAGTGATTCTTTTATGATGGTGTGAATAAAATTAATATTGATCTGTTTGTGTGCATGATCCATTCTGACCATATATGTGGTATGGGAATTGAGAAGCTTTTAGGATTTGCAGCCTGTTGATTAGAAGCAATACAATAGCAGTTTATGTATATAAGTGGGACTCAAGGTGACCAAACTGAGAAAATTAGAATGAAGTTGAGGAATAAATGAGAAGATATAAACAAAAATACACCCTTCTCTCTCAAAGATTACATAGACTTTAGTTATCCTAGAAATATGAAGACAATTATATTTTGGGTCATTTCTGTGTTCTCTTACAGTACTGTGCATAGGTTTTAAATAATATTCAGAATAATTCAGTAGGAACAGAAAATATGCTAAAGAATCAGTAACAAAACAGTTTCACCTGCTCTCTCAATTAATTTTCACACCCACCTCTGAAGTAAACAACCCATCTGGTAAGTGGTATAATTGGAATTTAAACTCAAGTCTGACTTTTAGGTTCATGCTTTCTTCTGTTTTACTACATTCCATGTAAACTGGGGAGAAGGCACATGGTTGGACCTAGAAAAAACACTGAAAGTCACCTGTCGGTAGGTGATGATTGAACCTCTGAGATTGCTGTGGGTAAGGCAATAGACTGTTGAATGGGTTCCTGTTTGACGACTGTAATACTATAGTTGTCTGTCCATAGCCACGGGTTCTGCATCTGTGGATTCAAGTAGCTGCGGATTGAAAAATTAGGGTGGGAAATTGGATGACTGTGTCTGTACTAAACATGTACAGACATTGTTTCTTTTTAGGAGACAGGGTCTCCCATTGCCCAGGTTGGTCTCAAACTCCTGAGCTCAAGAGATCCTCCCTCCTTGGCCTCCCAAAGCATTAGGATTACAGCTGTGAGCCACTGGCCTGACCAGACTCTTTTTTCTTGACACTTTTTTCTTTTCTTTTCTTTTTTTTTTTTTTTTTTTTTTTTTTGAGACAGGGTTCCACTCTGTCGCCCAGGCTGGAATGCAGTGCCATAATCATAGCTCGCCACAGCCTCTATCTCCCAAGCTCAAGTGATCCTCTTGTCTCAGCCTCCTGAGCAACTGGGACTACAGGCACATGCTACCATGCCCAGCTAATTTTTAAAAATTTTTTGTGGAGACAGGATCCCACTATGTTGCCTAGGTTGGTCTCAAACTCCTGGGCTCAAGTGATCCTCCCTCCTCAGCCTCCCAAAGATCTGGAATTACAGGCATGAGCCACCATGCAGGGCCTTGTCATTATTTTCTAAACACTACAGCATAACAACTATTTACATAACATTTACATTGTACTAGGTATTATAAGTAATATAGAGATGATTTAAAGTACACAAGAGGATGTGTGTAAGTAGGTTATATGCAAATACTATGCCATTTTATATAAAGGGCTTGAGTATCCAAGGATTTTGGCATCTGTGGTGGGCGGGGGCTGGGAGGTTCCTGGAACCAATTACCTGCAGATATGAAGGGACAACTGTATGTTTGAATTCAGAATGAAAACATTTAGCATATTTCACATTGTACACCAAAAGGCTGTATATAATATGTATCGCCTCTGTTACTATCTGTGGTTTAAAAGAGAAAGACATCATTCTCAACTCAGAAATTAATAGTTACATTTGATTTTCACTCACAGCTGGTCAACAACTCTTAAAGCCTGTGTTTGTAAGACAGAAGGAAATTAAGTGCATAAAGCACAAGCATGTAAATGTTGATTCTTTGCTTTCCTAATGCTTCCCCACTTCTACTTTCCCATCCCTGCACTCCAGTTTGATATCAACCCAAGATACCAACACTTGTTTCACTCTGTGTTATCCCTTGTTATGCTCTCTAGCCCAACAAAGCAGTTTGCTGTAATGTGCACACACCTGACTTTCTATCTCAGTCTTCCTCTATTTCATAAATGTTTAACACTTCATATTTATTATGTACGATGTGGGATTCTACATTGTACAGGACTGTCTCCACCCATCATAATGAGCCTTTTAATCTAATAGGGGAGTTAAAATACATATTTACGTTTGCTAAGTATGAGGCTTTAGATTTCAATGTCTTATAGGGGATGCAAGCTAAATGTTATAAGAATATAGGAAAGGAAGGAATTACTTTTAACTGGAAACAGAAGAAAGTTTATAAATTGCTAGGTTAGGGAAAAGAGCTATTCTGTCTAGCCTTGTGGACTAAAGAGAAAGCTAGTAATTTCTTTTCTCAGATGAGATATACTTAAGCAGCTTAGCCTCTGGTAATAGAAACAAAACATTTTTATATAAGTATAGAGGTAAATTCATACCTAGAAATACTCATGTGAACTGTTATCTCATAGTTTGCTGAAGGCTGTTGTACTTCTCTTCTGAGCATAGAACTTTGGAATATGGCCTGGAAATTTAATACAAATCTGAAACCATTTGACATTTTTAATAATGTATACTTGGGGAAATATTCAGACATTGCATGCTATATGAGAGAAAATGTTAAATCACTCCTATCCCAATTTCATTCCCTTAATATATAAACAATTGTTGTTACATTTTTAACAAAAATTTTAAAAGAAATTTCTGTAAGTAACAAAATAATCCACTAAGAATTTCTTCTTGACCTCTTAAGGGAGGTACATAACCCCTCTAGGAAAACAGAGCCTCTGCCTGGCTTGCATTTCTGTAAAACGCCTAGTGCCTAGGCTACAAGTGGATTGCAGGAAATGTTTTTACCTTTCTCCCCATCTCCCACTGCTAATTGATGTGTTTATTCAGTTATCTGAGTCAGCCCTGTTGAGAATAACGCTGTGAGAGAATTCATACTGTGTACTTGTGTGCCAGAGTCTCATTCCCAGCAGGCTGGGGTGGAGAATGGAGGCTGGAGTAAAACGAGGAGGCTGAAAGGAGCAGTGTCAGAGCAGGAGAAAGTCGCCTTGGCCTTGTTAATCCTAACTTGAAAACTCTATCTTTTAGCTTTTACCAATTATTTAGTAGAACTTTCTTATGGATTCCTGTGAGATTATATTTATGCCTGATGTGGGCATAAGACCTTTGGTGCTCTTATTGTGTTTCATTCACCAGTCCACCTGAATTCCAATTCAATTCTTTTTCATGTCTGTCTTCAGGCCAGTAGATTCAGCGAGGGCTTCTGAAGCAGTATGTTTCATATGGCTAGAGAGAGACAGAGAGATAGAGCATTGAATAATTTGAAGGGGAAGGGAGATAACTATTTTATATCTCTCGTCAGATGCCCAGAATAGCTATAAAGACATCATAAAAACTATCCTAACCTAGAAATAACGTAAAGAAGTTATATGGTGATGGGTGACGAAGATAGACTTTTTCCAAAAAAATTTAAAGTTTTCATAACATATTTTCTAAGAACTAAAGAGAGGGGTTTTTTTTTTTTTCTATCTTTTGAGATGGAGTCTCACTCACTCTGTTGCCCGGGCTAGAGTTTAATGGCAGCGATGTCAGTTCACTGCAATGTCCTCCTCCTGAGTTCAAGCGATTCTCCTGCCTCAGCTTCCAAGATATCTGAGATTAAAGGCATTTGGCACCATGCTTGGCTAATTTTTGTATTTTTAATAGGGATGGAGTTTCACCATGTTGGCCAGGCTGGTATTGAACTCCTGACCTCAAGTGATCTGCCCGCCTCAGCCTCACAAGGTGCTGGGATTACAGAAGTGAGCCACCACACCCAGCCTTTTTTTTTTTTTTTTTTCCCTTAAGAGACGTGGTCTTTCTGTTGCCCAGGCTAGGGTGATGCAATCATGGCTCACTGCAGCCTCCAGCTCCTGGGCTCAAGCAGTCCTCCTTTCTCAGCCTCACAAGTAGCTGGGACTACACATACCACCATGCCCAGCTAATTTTTTAAAGTTTTTCTAGAGACAGGGTCTCTTTGTGTTGGCCAGGCTGATCTTGAACTCCTAGCCGCAGGCAGTCCTCCCATCTCAGCCTCCCAAAGTGCTGGGATTACAAGGGCATGAACCATTATGTCCAATAGCAGGAAAATTTTTATGTAAAGCAATTTATTTTTATTTTTATTATTAATTTCTGTTACAGAATCTTCATTCCTGCCTTTACCAGTTTGCAAGGGCTGCCATAAGAAAGTATTACATAACAATATAGCAATGTATTTTCTTACCATTCTGGAGGCTAGAAGTGCAAGATCAGGGTGTCAGCAGGGTTGGTTTCTTCTGATGTCTTTTTTGTTGGCTTGTAGATGGTCATGCTCTGTGTCTTCACATGGGCCTCCCTCTGTATGTGTCTGTATCCACATTCCCTTTTCTTATAAGGACACCACTCCAATTGGATTAAGGCCCACCCTCATGACATCACTTTAATTACCTTTTTAAAGACCTTATCTTTAAAAACAGTGACATTTTGAGGTACTGAGGGTTAGAACTTCAACATACGGGTTGGAGACTGAGCACAACTCAGTCTATGACTCTGCCCCTTCCCACTGATAACTGTAATCAGTTCATCACTTTTTATCTAGACTGTGGCAGCCCCCCACCCCCAATTCTCTGCCTTTTTTCTTTCACCACTATTGTGTAAAGCAGTTTTTATTACCAAGTAGAAATGATTCTTGGACATTGGAGACAGCTGAATTTTGAAGTTGTTTAACTTTTAAATGGAAGAGAGTTATGAATTTTTGTTTCAAGGTAGGTCACTACCATTCTCTTAAGAGTAACACAGTAATTCAGTGTTTCAGAATATTGGCTTCCCCTTATTGATGATATATTTTTTGTCATTCTCTTTAGTATTAAAAACAATATATTTGTATAGGTTTTATTACAAAAGTAATATATGTTTATTATTGGGGCACAAGGAAACTTTTGGGGGTTTTGGATATATGTGTTGACTATCTTGATTGTGGTGATGATTTCATGAGAATATAAGTGCATATATCAAAACTTACCAAATTGTATACTGTAAATAAATAAGTGCTGTTTATCATATGACAGTTATATCATAATAAAACTGCTTAATTTTTTTGCTGATTTGATGACTAAAGACTTGGACTTACTTTGATGTTAATGTGAATTTTCGTGACAGTTAGTGAGGTTGAGCATTTTTATTAGTTGTTTGTATTTCATTTTCAATGAATTGTTCAGATACACAGTTTGCCTGTTTTTCTCTTGGGATGTGTGTGTGTTTGTGTGTACATGTGTGTCTGTCTTGTCAACTTGGTTAACCCACTCTGGGACTAGTGATAATAACCCAGCATCTCTCTTACCTTTTGCTAATATTTTCTCCTAGTTGATTTTTCTTTTTTGTTTTTCGTATTTTTTAGGGACAGAGTCTCTCTCTGTGGTATAGGCTGTAGTGGCTTGTGGTCCAAAGTGGGCTCTCCACCTACTTTTAATTTAAAGGAAAGATTTTTGCCCCTTTGGCATCTAGTCCACTTAAATATGGTTGTGGGCCTGTCTAGTAACTACACATTAACAAAAGTGAGTGTGTGTGTGTGTGTGTGTGTGTGTGTGTGTGTGTCTGTCCACATACATATATCTATGTGTGTATGTGTAATAATATTTTCTCCAATCCTGGAGCAATAAGCATTCCATTTTACCTATGCAGTGAGAGAATATTCAGAGAATTCCATATACTCACTTTAAAAATAGTTACGTAACAAGGATTCAAAGTCACTTTTTCTTTCTCTTGTTGTTTGTTTTAGGGTAACCAGGAGCCGACAACAACTCCTGACGCAATGGTTCAGCCTTTTACTACCATCCCATTTCCACCACCTCCGCAGAATGGAATTCCCACAGAGTATGGGGTGCCACACACTCAAGACTATGCCGGCCAGACCGGTGAGCATAACCTGACACTCTACGGAAGTACGCAAGCCCACGGGGAGCAGAGCAGCAACTCACCCAGCACACAAAATGGATCTCTTACGGTACGTGGACCATGAGGTGAAAAATGGAAGGATGCATGGCAATCATATAGAAATTGTCGCCTTAATTATACAATTAGAAGACTCTCGGAATTAATTTAGCATTTACACCTGTTCTCATTTACACCTTCTCTCAACAGCATTGTATACATTGTCCTCCCTCCTCCTAGAAATACTTAGTCTCTTGGCTTTTCGAGCTCTCCCAATTTTCCTGCCAAGCACTGGGTGTTCTGCTCCTGCCTCCTTCTCTGTTCAACTTTTAAATGGTGCAGTACTCCATATGTAGGTCCTGGAACCCCTTTTCTTTTTATTTTATATCCTTTCTCTGCATAATTATACTACCAAACTCAAGCAAAACCTAGGAATATTCTTTCTTTCTTTCTTTCATCTGTACATCTAATTGATTAGCAAGTCTTGACAACCATAACTCTAAAACTACTTCGTCTTCTTCTCTACATCTTATTACTCTTCCACCAAATTGCTTGTGTTTGAATCTCAATATGGCCCCTACTAAACTGTGTGACCTTGGACCAGTTATTTAATCTCTCTGCCCTTGGCTCACTCTAAAATGAAGATAATAGTACCTACCTGAAGAGGCTGTTAGGAAATTTAAAAGAATTTATCATCATCACTGCTCTAGTCCAAACCTCATCACTTATTTCCGGTATTACTGTTGCCTAACTTATCTATCCTCCACATAGGACTAAGGTGGTTTTTTTTTTTTTTTAATGCAAATGCCGATTTCCTACTTAACTCTTAATAGTTCCCTAATGCAATTAGAATATAATCTGAACTCCGTACTTGGTTTACTAGTCTCTAGCCCCAGCTTACCTCTTTGACTTCACCTCTTACTACTAACTTGCTAAAGTAAAGGAAATGTCATAAATTAATAATAGGTATATATCTCATACATACCAACATATGGGAAATTGTATTGTCTCTTGCTTTGTTGTCCAGGCTGGAGTGCAGTGGCATGAACATAGCTAGCTCACTGCAACCTCAGTCTCCTGGGCTCAAGTGATCCTCCTGCCTCAGCCTCCCATCTAGCTGGGACTACAAGCACACACCCCACGCCCAGCTCATTTTTTAATTTTTTTTGTAGAGACAGGGTCTCCTTTTGTTGTTGTCCAAGCTTATTTTGAACTCCTGTCACTCTATCCTCCTACCATGGTCTCCCAAAGTGCTGGGATTAGAGGCATGAGCCACCATGCCCAGCCTTGTGTGGTCTATTTCTAAAGATAGAAATGTTCTACAGTCTGCATAGAAAGACCTAGCTCTGTCGTTAGATTTCTTTTTCTCTTTCCTATATCTGGTTATGAAAAGGAGAGCTTTACTCAGCCTTTAAGCCACTTGCTAAGGATGGATTTAACCCATAAATGCTTTCAATTTTCTTTCATCAAGTATTGAACCACCAAGAAATTCCTACTTTCGATGTTTATTAGTTATGTATAAGCACATAATTTTATACTTCAGAAATAATTGGCTACAATAGATAATTTAAGAGTCTAGGCTTGATAGGTAACAAACGAGACTTTCAGTAGCATTTGTTCTAGAATCATAAACGTACAGGCTGATGTATTGACTGCATTTCCAAATAACTTTTTAATGATCATGAACTCACAGACCTATCAGAATAACTGTTTCAATTAAAGAAGTGAAAAAGAAGAAATAAAATATATGTGAGGATTTTCCAAGGTGTTTTAATTAATAAATTTCTATACTAATTATCAGGGTTTTTTTTTCATTTTTATTCTCTGTTTCTTGTTAGTTTGGGTAATTTGTGTCTTTTTAGCAATTTGCTTCATATAAATTGTCAATTTTGTTGGTATAAAGTTATTCATAATTTCATATAATCGTTTTAATTTTTGTAGGGTCTGTGGTGATATCCCTGTTTATATTCTTGATTTGGCAATTTGTGTCTTCTCTCTTTTTTTATTGGTCAGTCTAGCTAAGGTTTATTAATTTTGCAGATTTTTCCAGGAAACCAACTTTTTTTTTCATTGATTTTTGTTGTTTTTCTATTTTATTTTTCATTAGTTTCCACTCTGTTATTATTTCTTTCTTCTACTTGCTTTGGGTTTGATTTGGTCTTTATTTTGCCAGCCTCTTGAGTTGCAAGCTTAGGTGATTGATTTTAGATTTTCTTCCTTTTTGTGTTTAAAACTGTAAACACAGAAAGTTTCCCTTTAGCTGCATACCGTAAAATATGATCTATATTGTTTTTATTTTTTTTTCGTTCGAGACATTTTAAAAATTTTTCCTGTGGTTTCTTCTTTGCTCCTGGGTTGCATAGGAGTATGTTGTTTCCTTTCCAAATGTTTGGGGATTTCCCCCAAATTTCTTTCTTTTATTGATTTATAATTTAATTTCTTTGGCGCTTCACATGATCTCAATTTTTTTTAATTTATTGAGACTTGTTTTATGGTTTACTAGACAGTCTTTCCAACAAAATATTCTTAACCAATTGGTTTTTTCATCAATATGAAATGTCCCTCTTTGTCTCTTTTACTATTTCTTGGCTTATAGTTAACCAAGAAATAGTAAAACTATTTGTCTGATATTAATGTAATCACTTCAGCCTTCTCATAGTTACTGTTTACATATTTTTTTCTGTCATTTTGTTTCAACTGCTTTGTATCTGAAGTATATCTCTTATTTAACAAAATTTAAAAAAGAAAGGGCCAGGTGGGGTGGCTCACGCCTGTAATCCCAACACTTTGGGAGGCCGAGGCAGCTGGATCATCTGAGGTCAGGAGTTTCAGACCAGCCTGACCAACATGGTGAAACCCTGTCCTTACTAAAAATACAAAAATTAGCCGGGCGTGGTGGTGTGCGCCTGTAATCCCAGCTACTCAGAGGCTGAGGTAGGAGAATCGCTTGAACTGGGGAGGCGGAGGTTGCAGTGAACTGAGATCATGCCACTGCACTCCAGCCTGGCCCACAGAGTGAGACTCCGTCCCCCACTCCCCGAAAAAAGTGCACAGCTAGATCCTGCTTCTTGCTTCTTCATCCAGTCTGAAAATTTCTGTCTTTTTATTGGAGCATTTGGTCAATTTGCATCTTAATGTAATTATTAATGTAGGTAGATTTATGTCTGTCATTTTACTGTCTCATGCCTTTTATTGTTCCTTTGTTCCTTCTTTACTGATTCCTGTTAAATAATTTTTGTACCTTTTACATCCATTTGTGATATTTTTTCTTTAGTTATTTTTTGTTTGTGCTGGTGTTTCTTGTATTTTCTTAGTGCTTTCTCAAGGAATTACATCTTTGACTTATCACAACTTATTACTAATGGTTGTGTGTGTGCACATGCATGTGTGTCTTATTCTGGTTAAATATAGCAGCTTAGGTCTAATATAGCTTCATTCCCCACGCGCCTTTGTGCTATTGTCATACATATTATACCTGTATATTTTAGATATATAACAATACACTATTATAATTATTACTTTAAACAATCTTACGTTGTTTTTTTTTTTAAGATCTCCTTTTTTAGAGCAGTTTTAGGTTCACAGTAAACTGAGAAGATAGTACAGACTTATCCCATATACTTTCTGTTCCCACACATGCATGGCCTCCCCCACTAACAACATTGCACACCAGAGTGGTACACCTGTTACCATTGATGAACCTGTATTGATACATCTTTATCACCTAAAGTCTGTTAGAGTTTACTCTTACTGGTGTACGTTCTGTGGGTTTGGATAAATGTATAGCATATAGCCAGCATTATAGCATCACAAAAAGTAATTTCACTGTCCTAAAAATCCTCTGTGGTCTGCTTGTTTATCCCTCTCTCCTCCCCACAACCCAACCCCTGGCAACCACTGATCTTTTAACTATCTGCATAGTTTTTCCTTTTTCAGGATTTCATGTAGTTGTAATCCCACAGTATGTAGCTTTTTTCTGATTGGCTTCTTTCACTTAGTAATATGCATTTAAGTTTCCTCTGTGTCTTTTCAAGTCCTAATAGTTCATTTCTTTTTCAGCACTGAATAATAACCCATTGGTCTGTATGTACCACAGTTTGTTTATCCATTGACCAATTTAAGGGCATCTTGGTTGCTTCCAGATTTTGGCAGTTATGAATAAAGCTACTGTAAACATTCATATGCAGGGTTTTTTGTGGACTTAGTTTTGAACTTCTTGGGGTAAATACCAAGGGCCATGATTGCTGGATCATATGATAAGAGTATGTTTAATTTTATAAGAAACCACCAAACTACATTCCAGAGTGGCTCTACCGTTTTGCATTTCCACCAGCAATGAATGAGAGTTCCTGCTGCTCCACATCCTCGCCAGCATTTGGTGTCTGGATTTTGGCCATTCTAATAGATATGTAGTTGTATCTCATTGTTGTTTTAGTTTGCATTTCCCTGATGACATATGACATGGAATATCCTTCCATGTGGTTATTTGCTATCTTTATATCTTATTTGGTGAGGTATCTGGTAAGGTCTTTGTCTTACTTTTTTTTTTTTTTTTTTTTTTTTGAGACGGAGTCTCGCTCTGTCGCCCAGGCTGGAGTGCAGTGGCGCGATCTCGGCTCACTGCAAGCTCCGCCTCCCGGGTTCACGCCATTCTCCTGCCTCAGCCTCCCGCATAGCTGGGACTACAGGTGCCCGCCACCACGCCCGGCTAATTTTTTGTGTTTTTTTTAGTAGAGACGGGGTTTCACTGTGTTAGCCAGGATGGTCTCGATCTCCTGACCTCGTGATCCGCCCGCCTCGGCCTCCCAAAGTGCTGGGATTACAGGCGTGAGCCACCGCGCCCAGCCTTTGTCTTACTTTTTAATCAGGTTGTTTGTTTTCTTATTATTAGATTTTAGAATTCTTTGTATATTTTGGATAACAGTCCGTTATCAGATAAGTCTTTTCCAAGTATTTTCTCCCAGTCTGTGGCTTTTTTCAGTTTCTTGACAGGATTCATTTTATTTTATTTTTTGACTATTTTTAGTGATCTTCATGTCTTCCTATAGGTCCAAGTTATTATGCAGTGTCATTTCCTTTCAGTCCAAAGGACTTCTTTTAGTATTTTTTTTTAGGCCTGCTGGAAACAAATACTGTTTTTGTTTATCTGGGAATGTTGTTTTTTTATGTGTTCAGTTTTGAATGATAGTTTTGTTAGCTATAGGATTCTTGGTTGACAGTTTCTTCCTCCACCCCCCAGCCCTTTAAATATGTCATCCCATGGACCACTCCCATGGGAGTCAGCTGATTGTGATGAGAAGTCAGCTGTTAACCCTGGTGTTGGTCCCCCTGTAGGTGATGAGTTGTTCTTCTCTTGCTGATTTCAAGATTTTCTGTTTGTCTTTGGCTTTGAGCCGTTTCTCTATGATGTGTCTAGGAGTGGATCTCTTTGTTTTTATCATACTTGGGTTCTCTTGAGATTTTGAAATATATATTCATCAAATTTGGGATGTTTTTCACCATAATTTCTTCAAATTTTTTTTTCCTTTCTTCTCTCTTCCTGGGCCTCTGATTACACATAATTTTCTTTTCCCCCGAGATGAAGTCTTGCTCTGTTGCCCAGGCTGGAGTGCAGTGGTGCAATCTCGGCTCAGTACAACCTCTGCCTCCCAGGTTCGACCAATTCTCCTGCCTCAGCCTCCCAAGTAGCTGGGATTATGGGCATGCACCACCATGCCCAGCTCATTTTTGTATTTTTAGTAGAGATGGGGTTTCACCATGTTGGCCAGGCTGGTCTCAAACACCTGACCTCATGATCTGCCTGCCTCGGCCTCCCAAAGTGCTGGGATTACAGGCATGAGCCACTGCGCCCAGCCAACACATAAATTAAAATACTTGGTGTTCTCCCATAGGGGTTTTTGTTTCTTAAAAAAATTCAGTCTGAACCTAAACAAAATCTGAAGTTCTATTCATTTTTCTTGGATCTTTTTTCCTTCTGTTCTTTAGATTGGATAATTTCTGGTGGTCTCTTTTTCAGTTCACTCCTTCTTTGTTCTGCCATCCCAAATCTGCTGTTGAGCCCATCTAGTGATTTTTTTTCTTTCAGTTATTATACTTTTCAACTCTGGAATTTCCATTTACATTTTTCTACTGAGATTTCTTCTCATATTTTTCTTTAATTTTTATTATTATTTTTTGAGATAGGGTCTCACTTTGTCACCCAGGCTGGAGTGCAGAGGTGTAATCACAGCTCACTGCAGCCTTGACCTGCTGGGCGCAAGTGATCTTCCTGCCTCAGCCTCCTGAGTAGCTGGTACTACAGGCACATGCAACCAAACCCAGCTAATTTTTGTATTTTTTTGTAGAGGCAGGGTCTCGCTATGTTACCCAGGCTAGTCTTGAACTCCTGGGCTCAAGGAGTTCTCTCGCCTCAGCTGCCTAACATGCTGGGATTACAGGTGTGAGACACCATGCCCAGCCTTAATTTTAAAAATATATTTGTATTTACTGCTTTAACGTTGTCTGCTAAATCCAACATCTGGGCCTTAGTCTGTTTCTAGTTACTGCTTATTTTCTTGAATCTGGGTCACTTTTCTGTTTCTTTGCATGCTTGTAATTTTTTAATGAAAATTGGACATTTTAGTAATGCATTGTAGTGACTGTGGGGTGTTATTTATTTTTCTGTGATGGGCATGTGTGTGTGTGTGTGTGTGTGTGTGTGTGTGTTTTAAGTAATTTGCCCATACTTAAACTATGACATGTGACTCCCACACAGTATACGGCCACTAGTGTTTCTGCTTATTGATTTTCATTTGTTGTTTTATTGTTTTTAGCCTGGCTAGGAGGCACCCGTGTCTTCCTAGCTTAATGGTTAGCCTGTGACTAGTGCAGAGGTGGTGTTCAAACACCTGAAGCTTATTGAGCTTTCACCCTCTGATGATCCAGGTTGATTGGGAAGTGCATGGAAAGTTCAGCCAGTTCTTAAGCCTGCCTTGGGTTTTCTTTCTGTTGAGACCTCTTATGTCTCCCTTCCTCATCCATGTAGTTTCACAGCCACCCAGGGATGTGAGGAGACCATATCTGGCCCTTTTGTGACTCTTTTCTTTCCAGGATCTCCCCTTCAGATTTCTAGCTGGTCTTCCACTGCACCCTCTTCAGACCACAGCCTCAAGCTAGAAGAATGTCTTCTCCCTGTTAGGTTCCCACCAGGTTGGCCCCTTTTAGCTGTCAGAGCTATGGATTTTCTACCACTCCTTCAATCTCCCCCTTGTCCCAAGTCAGATCTGCCCTCTCTGGCAGTGAAAATTGCTGGTTTTTATGGTCCCAGCCCTCACCTGATAAAACTAAGTTTTAAGGCATTAAGTTTGTGTCTGGATGCTCTTGCCCCTAAGTTTAAGCAATTTCTCAGGACATCTATTTATTGTCTGTCTGCCATTGATTGATTTCTAGAATCCTGAAATGGCTGTTTTTGACAACTTTGTCCAACTTTCTTACTGTCATTTCCTTTTGAGGAAACAGTTCACTGACCTGTTCATACCATCATAGCCAGAAGTCTCTTCCCTGAATCATTGCATGGCATTTTTAAATTACTTACTACATATCTCCTCATCATTGCCCATTTCTGTTTCTCTTTTTTCCTTTATTGCTACCATTTTCAGTTGTTTCAGATCTCCAGTTGTATATTTCTAATGACAGTGATTAAGGGCAAGTTCTGTTCCTTAATGTAAATATACATATATTTACATTATATATATAGTTAAGACTTGCATTCCTCATTTATACCAGAAACTGTTCACCATGAAATTTTGTATGTCAACCAATTTGAGTTCCTAAAGAGATAACCCATATGTATAGAGTATAAGTTTATCGCTGCCAAAAATAGATGAAGAGAAAATGGAAAATCCTTTGATTTGTGCCTGTGAACAGAGATAGCACAAGTTCTATAATTTCAGGAAGCTGTTAACAATAAAATGAGAAATTTTTAGGATGCTCTGGTTGAAAGATGCTTTTTTTTTAAGTGTACATTTTATTTTATTTGATCTTATTTTTGAGACCGAGTCTCACTGTGTCACCCAGGCTGGAGTGCAGTGGCGTGATCTCAGCTCACTGCAACCTCAGCCTCCCAGGTTCAAGCGATTCTCCTGCCTTAGCCTCCCGAGTAGCTAGGGTTACAGGTGTCTGCCACTATGCCCAGCTAATTTCTGTATTTTTAGTAGAGACGAGGTTTCACCATGTTGGCCAGGTTGGTCTCGAACTCCTGACCTCAAGTGATCCACCCACCTCAGCCTCCCAAAGTGCTGGGATTGCAGGTGTGAGTCACTCTGCCTGGCCCAAAAGTGTACATTTTAAATGTGAGGGTGAATTCACTGCTCATAAGCCATTTATTTACTTTTGGCGGGGGGAGGGAGAGAGAGAGAGAGAGAGAGTGTGTGTGTGTGTGTGTGTATGTGTTGTATATAGAGAGTTTGAACAGTTGAGCAATACATTGTAAAACCTAGATTTGACAATATTTAGGTTATTTTATTAAACTTACTATCTGCCTATATGTCTCTTAAAATGGTCTATCCAGTTTGATTACTCATCAATTAAAAACAATGGTCTAGTAATTCATGTGGCCAATTAAATCTAAAAGTTAGACAGGAAGCGTTGTTATTTACAGATTTATTAATGATACCTCAAATTTGTATCTCACTTTTCAGTTTAAAAATTGCTTTCACAAACAATATTTTATTATGGTTTATAAAATATCCCTTTGGGATATATTAGAGTTTTTACAGATGGGGAATTCTAAGTCCGTAATCTTCGTTCTACCACTCCGACTCCCCATATTCAACGTAGTGAAAGAAGATGGTGTACTGTGTATATTCACTAGTCCTCTTAGCAAGCACTTAGTATCTTTTCCCACTCAGTTTAAGTCTTATCTCTGCTGAAAAGCCTTCCTGGACTTTTCTAGGCAAAGCCAAATTCGTGTGTCCTTCATTTAGGCTCAAGTAGAACCGTAAGCTGACTGCTGTTTATGTAACATATAAATTGTGATTTTTAAATTGACTTTTGTCTTCCTAAGTTTTAAACTTTTAAAGAAAAAGTCATTTTTCATCTTTGCATTCCCTGACTTGTCACAGTGCCTGACACTTAATAGAACTCAGTAAATGCTTCTTGGGGGAAAAAAAAAAAACTAGGTACAATTGTATTATGGCAGTTCTGAGGAGAGAGAAGCTGAGGCGTCTTGGTGAATACAGCATTGATCTGGGCCTTGTATTAATGGTAATTAGAATTCGAGTAAGCATAGATGGTAGTGGGAAGAGTTAAGAACGTCAGTTCTCAATACAAAGTTGAAGTGATGAGAAGGATCAAAATGCCTCGGGATAAAAGCATAGGTTTCTACTTGATTGAAGCTTTAGGTGTTTGGCAGAGACTAGTGGGAAATAAGGTGGAATAAGTGTCAGTTGAGTATAAATTGGGAAGAGTATTTGAATGCCAGGCTGAGAAATATGGACTTTATTAAAGATTTTGAGCAAGTAAATGAAGTGAGCAGAATTGTGCTCGGAGAAGATTGATCTGTCACAGCGTATGCAGGGTGAATAGAGGAGCAGGCAGACGATTAGGAAACAGTCTTAAGTGGTTATGTAGAGGGGGAATGAATTCAGGAGACATTATGAAGGTAGAATATAGAGGATTTGACAGCTGGTTGGATGAGTAAGATAAGAGGTAGCACAAAGATTGTGCCATCCTTATTGTAATAATTGTCTTGAATAAATCATTTTACCTCCAATTTCAGTTTCCTCATCTATCAAATGAAGTTTATACTTGACCTGACTGTACAGGGTTGTAGTGAGAATAAATTAAGAAATGCTTTGGAAATTACTTGTTTAAATAGTTACCTAATTACCTTTTTTGGGGGGTGGGGGAAGGGGGTCTTTGAGGTAGGGTCTCACTCTGTCACCCAGGCTGGAGTGCAGTGGCATGGTCTCAGCTCATTGCAGCCTCTGCCTCCCAGGCTCAGATGGTCCTCCTGCCTCAGCCGCCACGAGTAGCTGGGACTACAGGCGTGTACCCCCACACCCGGCTAATTTTTTTTTTATTATTTGTAGAGACAGGGTCTCCCTGTGTCTTGCTCTGGCTGGTCTGGAACTACTGGGCTCAAGCAATTCTCCCACCTCAGCATCCCAGAGTGCTGGGATTACAGAAGTGAGCCACCACATCCAGCCGAAGTAATTATTTTTAACCATCATAAGTCTTTTAAGATCAGTTGTCCCTATTTGTACTGTTTGTTGCTGTGAGCTACAGCTCCATTTAAGTATATTTCGCTTATGTTGGATGGTCTTAGATTGTTGGAGAGAACAAAAAGAAAAGAACTTGTACAAAAATGAGAACTGAGCATTAAAATCTGAAATTTTTATTTTTAAAATGTGTTTTAGAAATCGATTTTAACCTTGGGCTAGAAGCTTCTGCTCTTAAGATGAGAGCTTATTTTGATAGTCAGTTGGTCCCATACTGTGCATTAGCAAAAGAGGTAAGCAGTTAGGGGTCTACCACCTGGGCCTGCAGACACTTGATCATCTCTGGGCCTGCCTGCAGAGAAAAAAGGACCTCAGTTCCTGTATCTTTAGATACTTTTCTAAATGGCAGTGGGTATAAATAACCAAAGAATTTGAAGTAGACAAGCTTTAGTGAATACTCTTCAGATATGATGTTTATATTTGTGTACATATTCTAACTACCTGTTGGATTGTATTATTCTTAAGGGTAGGAAATAATTCTCTCTCTGTTTCTGTCACCTCTATTGGTATATTATGGATACAAACACTTACTAGCAAGTGCTTTCTAGTGGTGGGGAAGGCTTATAGTTGTTCTAAAGGCGTATAGGTGGTCTAAGGTGTTAGACATACGCTATTAAAAATACTGAGTTAATACATCAGTTTAGGTAACAGAATTCATTTCTCCAACATTCTTCCGTATAATGTAAATACTTTTCTTTTTCTTAGTTTGATGTAATTAGAATCATTTACTTAGGAGACATAGCATGTTATTGAGTCTTTCACTTAAATATAAGGTTTTCCTAACTGGATAATTAGGAAAATAAAATACATTTATTTCCCCTTATACACTCTTCAAACATAATTTAGAGCTACCTTCTTTTAAATCAAAATATCAGTCCTTAAATAATTTTTTGAAATACATATATAGGGGCAATAACTACTTAATAGTAACAACAAAACTAATATATTTGAGTGCCTACTTTGTACCAGATATTGTTTGAAGCACTTTTTATGTGTTAACTCCATTGAGTTACCATAGCCGCCATGTGAAATAGGTATCGTTATTACTCCTCTTTTACAGATGAAGAAATTGAGGCTTAGAGAGATTCAAGATTACTTGTCCAAGATCACACAACTAATAAATGTCAGTGTGAGGATTTAAATACAGGTTATCTGGCCCCAAGAGCCTGCATTATTTCCCATAAATTATATTGAACAACTGTTTTATATATACTTGTCATGTGCACATTACTGTGCTAGGCACTAGGTGTTCTTAAAAAGGTAAAATAAAGCCCCTGCCCTCAATGAACCTATAGAAGTTCCAGTAGAAAAACAGTACAGGCCTGGTGCAGTGGCTCATGCCTGTAATCCCAGCACTTTGGGAGGCCGAGGCAGGTGGATCACCTGAGGCTGGGAGTTCAAGACCAGCCTAACCAACATGGTGAAACCCTGCCTCTACTAAAAATACAAAATTAGCCAGGCGTGGTGGTGCATGCCTGTAATCCCAGCTACTTGGGAGGCTGAGGCAGGAGAATCGCTTAAACTCGGGAGGCAGAGGTTGCAGTGAGTCAAAATCGTGCCATTGTACTCCAGCCTGGGCAACAAGAGGGAAACTCAGTCTCAAAAAAACAAGAAAAGAAAAACAAAGTACAGATAAGTGCTAGAAAGAGAGTAATGAAGCGGGTTCATTAAGAGATGCTTTTAGAAGGTAGGTACTACTTCTCCTAAACAGTGAACCCATAGCCTGCAGTGAAGTAGAGGACATTGCAGGCAGGGACAATCCTTTGCAGCAGTAATTTTCCCTGTGTGGTCCACAGATCACTGGCAGTTCCCTAAATTTTTTCAGAGTCTGGGTCGAGGGAGCTATGAAGTCAATGCAAGGTATTATTTTCATAGTAATACCAATACATTCTTGCTGTTTTCACTATATTTGCTTTGACGGTCAGTACAGAAGCAATGGTGGGTAAAACTGCTAGCACCTTAGCATGAATCAAGGCCGTGGCACCAAACTGTGCTGCTGGCAGCCATCATATTCTTCACTGTCACAGACTCACAGGAAAACAAAAAAATCACGTTCACTTAAGAATGTCCTTGATGAAGCAGTAAAAAGTATTAATTTTATTAATTTCCCACATTAGTATATGATATTTTTCATATTCTACATGGCAAAGTGAAAAGTATTCATAAAGCACTTGTGTTACATACCAAAATATTTTCATTGTTTCAAGGAAAAGTACTGTGTGATTGAGTTGCAAGCTGAACTAGCTGCTTTTTTCATGGAGCACCATTTTTTTCTTGTAAGAACAATTAATGGACAAACCATAATATTCAGTTTTATGCATCTGGCACTCAAATATATTAGTTTTGTTGTTACTATTAAGTAGTTATTGCCCCTATATATGTATTTCAAAAAATTATTTAAGGACTGATATTTTGATTTAAAAGAAGGTAGCTCTAAATTATGTTTGAAGAGTGTATAAGGGGAAATAAATGTATTTTATTTTCCTAATTATCCAGTTAGGAAAACCTTATATTTAAGTGAAAGACTCAATAACATGCTATGTCTCCTAAGTAAATGATTCTAATTACATCAAACTAAGAAAAAGAAAGAAAGTATTTACATTATACACCATTTTCTTGAAAATGAAGTGGGCCTGCCACTTCAAGGGAAGAAACTGACACTATTTTTTTCCATTGGTAAAATGTAAGCTCTCCTGGTAGAAATTAGAATTTTGAAAAATTTGTGTCCTCCACTATGAGCTCGACAGTTTCTCAGTACTTAAAGATTTTTTCTGATGAGATCCGTGATGATAGTAACAAATGTGGTCTTGTATAATGCAATGTCCTCACATTTGAAAGAGCTCCGTAACTCAGTAAGCCGATATTTTACAAATAATGACTGAGGTTTAATGTTACAAAATCATGAGTAAAAGATTCATGCAAAGTGCATGATTGTCCAGTGGATTTTAGTGTAATAACATATGAAAAGTTCACTGATAAGGTTTCAGATTCGACATTGCAGTTAACTTTTAAGAAAGTACCACTTGTCAAGTTTTGATGTATTATCAAAGAAGACTCCACAGTTTTCTGAGAAGGCTATTGAAATACTTTTCCCTTTTCTAGCTATCTGTGAGGCCAGATTTTTCTTTGTATACTTAAGTTAAAATAACATACTGTAATAGTAAATCCATACATTAAAAGGAGTGCCAGTCTTCTAAGTAAATTTATTACGTTTTGGAAAATGTAGTTAATTTTCTTTAAAATATGTTATTTACATTAACACATAATTGGCTTATTATTTAAAATTAATTTTTAAATACTTTAAAAATTTATCAGCTTCAATTTCTAATGCCATAAATAACAATGGATATTACCTAAAGAAACAAAAAGCTCTCTGAATCCTCAGTCATGTTTAAGAGTTAAAAGGGTTTCCCACATGGAGGTGGGGATGTAAATAGAAGATTCTTTTCTTTGTAGGCCAGGCACAGTGGATCATACCTGTAATCTCAGCACTTAGGGAGGCTGAGGTGGGAGGATCACTTGAGTCCAGGAGTTAGAGACTAGCCTGGGTAACAAGGCAAGACCCCATTGCTAAACATTAAAAAATAAAAATTAAGAAGTTTTTTTAAGTTGACAAGATTGTATGTATTTATACTGTTGTACAGCATGATGTTTTGCTTACAGTATCTTTAGTTGGAACAGAAGGCTCTCTTCTGAAGCAATAATGCTCAATAAGAGAGGCTGATAAAGCTAAATTATAGAGGACTTTGAATTCAAGGCCAAAGAATTTGGAATTTTATACTCTAAAGAGCTAAGCATCCTTTGAAATATTTGTTGGTGAGTTGAAAGTAGAGATTTGAGCAAATAGCTGAGTGGCCCACTTTATTACTATATTAGTCAGCTGTAGATTTTATAACCCTCCTCACTGGAAAGCCCCTGTTGACCATTATGCTCAGAGGATTTTTTTTTTTTTTTTTTTTTTTTTTGCTTTTCTACACACCCCTTCTCTGGAGTTTAAGCCAATTTTTCTTTCACTTCTCTATTATCAATTGGTATTGCCCATTGACTTCTTTATCTGATAACAGTTGAAGGTGCCTTGCAGATTAGTGATGCACTAAAACGTAGCCAAGAAGGTATAGCCCTTAACAGTGGGATCATTTGCCCAAATGAGTATTTCTAGAACATAATGGGAAGAAGGGGGGCCACAGTCTATCATACTATGTATTGTTGGGCTATATTACCTTCAGCCCACAGTGTAGGTGTCATTAGCATGTTCTGTTTCCAGGCTAGATGTAGAGGTCTTGGACTACGGAGGAATTTATTCATTCAGCCATCCACTTTTCCAAGAGTGGCTCTTATTTTTCCCTCAAAGTAATAAAAGGCAGGGTACATTGAGCCTACATAAAATATATATATCCTGTATCAATTTACCCTTAAAAATAATTACATCTGTCCTTTAGCTCCAAAATTTTGATGTCTATGAGTAGTTTGGCAGTTTCCAAGCTGGATCCATAAGGAAGCTATCACCTGGTTTGAGAATGTGAGAGTTGCCACAGAAAACCAAATTTAGAATTATGCATGGGTATTTTTGAATAGAGAAAATTGCCCTTTGGATCATATAAGACTCAAGACATCCTTTCAGCACATGTTAATATTGCTAACTCCATGACTGTTGCTTCTTCTCTTTGCATGCCTTGGTTTATTTACTTACCTACTTACTCCTAATGCCCAAGGGAAACTAAACTAAAAAATTGCTAGGCGCGTTAATGCTGTGCTCCGCTGCCCCTTACTGCTCTCACAGCTTAGGGCAAGGATGATGAAGTAGTAAGGATTATTTAGGGGCAATTTTTTTAACCTGTTTACATTTTTCATAAATACTTTATACTACCTCTTGAAAATGAGTAAACTCTGATCAGAACTGATGAAGTTTAAAGCTAAAAAACTTTTTTTTTTTTTTGAGACAGAGTCTTACTCTGTTACCCAGGCTGGAGTGCAGTGGCGTGATCTCGGCTCACTGTAAGTTCCGCCTCCCGGGTTCACGCCATTCTCTTGCCTCAGCCTCCTGAGTAGCTGGGACCACAGGTGCCCACCACCACGCCTGGCTAATTTTTTGTATTTTTAGTAGAGACTGGGTTTCACCATGTTAGCCAGGATGGTCCCGATCTCCTGACCTTGTGATCCACCTGCCTCAGCCTCCCAAAGTGCTGGGATTACAGGTGTGAGCCACCGCGCACGGCCTAAAAAGCATTTTTAAAAGCATCTTCTTTTACAGCTGAGGTCAGTGGTGTTAAGTGATTTGAGCAAGTTACAGCTAGCTGGTTACAGAGCTGGGCCTTAGGAAGTCTGCTGTCAGTCAAGTGCTTTTTTCCTGCTTCTCCATGCAAATGGTGATTTAAAAAAAAAAAGACATCCATAGAGAGTCTTAACCATCTTAGCTTCTACTTACTCTTCAACTTTTAACCTAGGACTCTAGCTTGAGCATACTAACAAATTTCTTTCATTCTAAATGAACGTTAAAATAATCACTCAGGTATAAAGTTTTAAAAAATTGAGGTGATATTCTGTGTGCATGTCACTATTTATATGTTACATATAATTTTATACAATTCTTACTCCTGTTTAAAAAAATGACTTGCTGTGGTTTTTGTTTCACAGCGTGACACTGATAATCAGTACATGATCATGTTACATATACAAATGATGCCTTTCATAATTCCTTTTTGTGGCACTTTGACACTCTGAGAAAATGGAATCACATATTTTCAGAAGAAATGGAATTACTCGTTTATTAAAAAAAGTTAGCTTACATTTGAATGCCCAAACAGGATTAGACTCTCAGAATTCAGCTTGTCATAACAGTGTTCAAATGCACAGAAGAAATGTTTAAGCATTTCTCTTTAAAATAAATCTAAAAGTAATTATTCTTAAATAGGGAGTTGCTCTAAGTAAATGTAAATTCACTTTTCTGTGTCTAAAAAATTGTTTTGGTGGTGATATTTGATAAAATAATTTTATATTCAATTGATTATAATTGTCTTATATATTATTTTAGCACCATGAAGTACATTGATTTTTCAGTAGCTAAGCATGTGGGCTAAGATTTTACTTTTTTGAAAAATATTTTATCATGTTATTGCGTTTGTACTCTGTGAGAAGGAATGCATATGATCTAATTCCACCAAGTTTTAACCCATCAGGAACTCCATCGTAAACATTTTTATTCATTGATTTATTTATTTTTGAGACAGAGTTTCATTCTTGTTGCCCATGCTAGAGTGTGATGGCGTGGTTTCAGCTCACTGCAATCTCTGCCCCCCGGGTTCAAGCGATTCTCCTGCCTCAGCCTCCAAGTAGCTGGAATTACAGGCGCCTGCCACCACACCTGGCTAATTTCTTTCTATTTTTAGTAGAGATGGGGTTTCACCACGTTGGCCAGGCTGGTCTCGAACTCCTGACCTCAGGTGATCCACCCGCCTTGGCCTCCCAAAGTGCTGGGATTACAGGCGTGAGCCATTGCACCCGGCCCCATTAGAAACATTTTCAAAATGCTTAGCTAGGCATGGTGGCATGCACCTGTAATCCCAGCAACCTGGGAAGCTTAGGCCTGTAAATCTCTTGAGCCCAGGAGTTTGAGACCAGCCTGGGCAACATTGGGAGACCCTGTCTCCAAGAAAATTAAAACAAAAGTACTTTAAGTGCTAACAAATCTGGTTGATGTTCTAACATGGATTGTAGTTCTTGTTTTTTGAGATACTATGCAATGGCATAATGAAAAGTATCCTGGCCAACTTTGTAAAATATTGTAAGGAAAAACTGAAAATTTTAAAGTGTTTTTATTTTTTTAAAAAGGCTATATTGTGTTTAGGGAGTGTGAGCCTGTAAATCAGGTTGCGCTGGTTCAGCTCTCAGCTCCTTCTGTTGACTGAATGTGTAACCATGAGAGAATTAGAACTCCAATGCTCATTTTCCTTATCTGTAAAAATGATGATAATAGTTCCTTCCGCCTACGGTTGTTTGCAAGATTAGATGAGAAAATGAATATCAAATACTTAGTAGGCTATGATGTTTCCATTTCAATTCGTTGAATATTAAATATGTCATAATCTTATTTTATTCAAATTTAAATCATTTAGATTTGAAATCTGATATAAAAAGTTAATAATGTTTCACTTTTGTGCAAATTTTGATTCAGTGTGAATCTCTGCAAATGAAAATTTTGTTAATAGTTGCCTAATTTCTTTTTCTTTTTCTTTTCTTTTCTTTTCTTTTCTTTTCTTTTCTTTTTTTTTTTTTTTTTTTGAGACGGAGTTTCATTCTGTCACCCAGGCTGGACTGCAGTGGCATAATCTCGGCTCACTGCAACCTCCACCTCCCGGTTCAAGCAATTCTCGTGCCAAAGCTTCCCAAGTAGCTGGGATTACAGGTGCCCACTGCCACGCCTACCTAATTTTTGTATTTTTAGTAGAGACAGAGTTTCACCATGTTGGCCAGGCTGGTCTCAAACTCCTAACCTCAAGTGATCCACCTGCCTCAGCCTCCTAAAGTGCTGGGATTACAGGTGTGAGCCTCCACACCCAGCAATAGTTGCCTAATTTGAAAGCTATTTGAATTGCATGGTAATTCACATGGCAGATGTACTTTGAGCAGTTAATAGAAATATCTACTGACCTTTGATAGGCTTATTCTTGAATGACACATTTTTCAGAACTATGTCCCTTACACTAAATGTTGACTTCATAATACTGTGAAAATTACCTATTTGAGTCTATGGAAAGTATTCATTTACATACCTTATCTGAAGATCACCACCCCCTCCCATTCGAAATAAATGGAGCCCAACCAGGAGTGATTGATATTTTTGTTCTTAAAACTGTAATGTCTTCAGAGAGAGTGCAGTAGGAGATGAAGCTTTATATGATTGGTTTTTTGTATGTAAAATAATGAGAGTTACAAGTTAAACTGTTTCTAATTGTGAAATGGATTAATAGTAATGTTAGATTTAAATGTGGGTTTTTTTCTTCATCAAACCAATAATTTGAAATGAATGTACTTTCAGTCTCTTTCTAAGTTTCATAAGAGTTCCAATCACATTTTGAATACAAAACATAAATATTTGTTTACACTCGTGCCTGTATATAATCATTAAACCAGTTAAACATTTTTAGTGTTTTAATATTTAAGGGTTTAGAACCTGACATCCTAAAATATTTTCTTCTTTTTTTTTTTTTTGAGACAGAGTTTTTGCTCTGTTGCCCAGGCTGGAGTGCAATGGTGCGATCTCGGCTCACTGCAACCTCCATCTCCTGGGTTCAAGTGATTCTCCTGCCTCAGTCTCCCAAGTAGCTGGGATTACAAGCACCCGCCACCACGCCTGGCTAATTTTTGTATTTTTAGTGGAGACGAGGTTTCACCATGTTGGCCAGGCTGGTCTCGAACTCTTGACCTCAGGTAATCCACCCACCTCGGCCTCCCAAAGTGCTAGGATTACAGGCATGAGCCACTGCGCCAGGCCTACTTTTTTCTTTTTTAAAACTTGTAATTTTTTTTCTAGCTTGCTTGTTTCCTTGCTTGCTTTTTTTGTGTGTGTGTGTGTTTGTTTTTTGTTTTGAGACAGGGTCTTGCCTTGTCGCCCAGGCAGGAGTGCAGTGATATGATCATAGCTCACTGCAGCCTTGACCTCTCATGCTCAATTGATCCTCCCACCTCAGCCTCCCAAGTAGCTGGGAGTACAGGCTTACGCCATCATTCCTGGCTAATTTTTGTATTTTTTGTAGAGATAGGGTTTCACCAGGGTTGTTCAGGCTGGTCTCGAACTCCTGGGCCTCCTAGAGTGCTGGAATTAAAGCCAGCCTGGGTGTGAGCCATTGCACCCAGCCAAAACTTTTAATTATGAAATTATTTTAGATTCACAGTAAATTTGCAAAAATATGCAGAAGATTTCTGCATACCCTTCACCCAGTTCCCCTAATGTTAGCATCTTACATAGCTATAGTAGAATGTTTGAAACTAGGCAATAAGAAATACTGAATACTGATATAGTGCTATTAGGTAAAATATAGGCCTTATTTTAAATTTCATTTTTTCCAGTAATGTCTTTTTCTCTATTCTGAATCCCATACTGTAGTTAGTTGCCATGTCTCCTTATCACAAATATTTTAATAATCCTCACCTTATATCTGAGGTACTTCTAGGCTCTAAAGAACAGAAAAAGGAAAAAATTTTGTATTTATGGACTTGCCATTAGATGATAACCACATCTCATTTCCTACTTCATCTGCTTATTCTCCCTTAACCTTTTGTGTTTGCATTGGAGAATGACTATAACGTAGGCCCTTCTTCACTTGAAATATAAAAGTTATTTTGAAAGCAAGCAATGTTTCCTAGAATATACATGTCAGCTCAAAACAAGCATAGGCTATGTTGCCCTATTTTGCTGCCTTGATTAAAACATGTACACACAGTACTATAAGATTTTATTAAATAGTTACTATTAGATCCAGTTTTGAATACATGAGATTAATTTTACTTACACCACAAAAATTTCAAAAGTTCAGAAACTGGTGACATCAGTTAGAAGATTGGAAGACTTTTTTGAAGAACCTGACTTGCTCAAGAAGACTTAAAGAACAAATTGCTTACCTAACAACTTAGAATGAAGGAATCACAAAGTCCCCCAAGCCTCCACTCCACCCACTCAGACTTCCCAAATTTTTTAGCTACCTGCCACCTACCCCCTCAACTCTTAAGTCCTGAATAGACAACCAATGATTACTAGGTACCAGGAAAGCCCACAACTTGGAAGATAGATAACAAAAAGAAACCAAAACAACAACCACCACCACCACGTTACAGGGAGTAGGACCTTTCCCCCACAATTACATTTATATGCTCAGAGAGAGAAGAAATTGTATTAACAGGAATGAAATGCTAGTTTGGGGGATGGGGGTTGAGTTTCAGAAAAGGAAAATGAGTCCTTGAAATTAAAAACATGGCAACAAAATGAAAAACTTTATCTGGCTGACTTGAAGATGAAACTGAAAAAATAAAGGTCTACATCTTTTTCTTTTTTTTTGAGATGGAGTCTTGCTCTGTGGCCTAGGCTAGAGTGCAATGGTGCGATCTCAGCTCATTGCAACCTCTGCCTCCTGGGTTCAAGCAATTCTCCTGCTTCAGCCTCCCAGGTAGCTGGGATTACAGGCGCGCACCACCACGCCCAACTAATTTTTCTATTTTTAGTAGAAACAGGGTTTCACCATGCTGGCCAGGCTGGTCTTGAACTCGTGACCTCAGGTGATCCACCCACCTCAGCCTCCCAAAGTGCTGGGATTACAGGTGTGAGCCGCTCTACCTGGCCTACGGTCTCTTATCCACAATTCCAAAATCCCAAAAGTTCTGAAAATTATATTTTTCATAAGTTTACAACACAACCTATTTCTATCCTTTATAGATTTTGCTAAAGAAATATCACTGTCTCAGATCTCATTGTATGTGGGTGGGATGAGGGGTGGGTATTACATTATGGGTTATATTCTATATTAACTTTCTAAAATTCTAAAAATTCTGATAAGCATTTGGCCGCAAAGGTTTCAGATAAGAGATTAAGGACCTATATCCCAGAAAAATGGAGCAAAAAGGCAGAGATGGGAAATACAAGAGAAGAGATGTGAAAATTAGAGGACCGGTCCAGAAGATCCAATAATACAGCTTCCCGAAAGAAAATGTGTAGCGTGAGAATCATCACCCGATAACACAAGAAAACTTCCAGGACTGAGGACATTAATTTTCATCTTGAAAGAGACCACAGAATTCTCCACAAAGTAGGTGAAAATGAAACAAGTCCACACTGAGGCATATAACTATGGACACTGTTTTAGAACATCAGGTGTATTTGGATAGTCCTACAAGCTGCAAGAGAGAAGAAAAAAGTCACATACAAGGAGATGGGAATCATGCCTTCAGATTTCTCAGCAGCAAGGCTAAAAGCTAGAAGACAATTGAGAGTTATCTTCAAAATTCTGAAGGGATTTTTTTTTCCAACCTATAATTCTGTGACCAGCCAAACTATCATTAAACTGGGATGGTTAAATAGATATTTTCAGCCATGAATCAGATTCTCAAAAAATTTACTGTGCTAAACTGAATTTCCTATTTTGCTTTTTTTCTCTGTTAGCCTCAAAGAGATGAAAATAAGAAATGAAGACTTCTATTGGGGGACGGGGGGGAAGAGGAAAAATAAATATTGAAGAAAGTGGATAATCCATAAATCAAAATATTTCTGAATTCATTAAGAGATTCCTTAGTATCTATATCAGAGTCGTATGTGTTTAATCTTAATCTGATAGACTTGGAAAGTTATACTTAATCTTGTGTCACTCAGAATTCCCTTTAGATTATGACAGAACATTTGTTGACAATGTATAGTTAAAATATTTCCATTGTATCATAGAAGAGTCAGAAAAATCAATCAATTTCCTAGTTAGAAGTATTTTAAAAATTTGAAGTCATCAAAAAAAGAAAACATTTGTAGTCCTCATTTCTAGGATGAGATTCTGAGACTTAAAATTCTAGTTTGCTATTAAGTGTAATTGGTGCCGACCTCCTGTGCAGTGTTGATGGCTAGCTCAGCTGCACCAGGGAAGATGAGTTGTTTGAAGGGTAGATGTATAGGTTTTAGCCATATGATTGCATCAGGCCAGCACTGCCGCTAGTCCTCACTCTAAACTGTCGGTGAACGGACTCCATCCAGCCTCTTCTGTTTTATGCCTTGCCCAGTGGATACGTTAGGTCGGATAATGACCACAAAAGGGAAAACCACAACCTTGGAAAGTTGTTTATATGGTCAGTAAAGGTGCTCAGCAGCTAGCAAGAGAAAATAATGCAGACCAGTGCTGTTGTAGACTGAGATTTTTCTTAGATCAATTTTAACTGTCCACTTTTCACAAAGATAAGACTTAAAAACTTTTATTTCCCTTTTTCTCTCTGATTTATATATTTCAGCAATTAGTAGTCTGTATTGGGATAAATTTAAAGTGAGAATGTCCCAGTTGTGAGATAAGATCTCATTTAAGTACGTTAATATAGTATGACCAATATTTTCTATTCCTATTTCTACTCTGTACAGAAAACCACTTTTAAGTCCCTGTATCAGTTTAGTAGTTCTTTGGCTTTTTTCCTAATTAAATGTCAGCATCCCTTTGCTGGTTTTCTTTTCTCTCCCTTTCCTTTCCCTTTCTCTGCATAGCCTGACCTATTTCTCTTTCCTCAAGGTATAGAACCTAGCCAGGCACAGTGGCTCATGCCTATAATTCTAGCACTTTGGGAGGCTGAGGCAGGCAGATCGCTTGAGCTCAGGAGTTCAAACCAGCCTGGCAACATGGCAAAACCCCATTTCTACAAAAAATATAAAAATTAGTCATGTGTAGTGGCTCGCACCTGTAGTCCCAGCTATTTGGGAGGCTAAGGCAGGAGGATCAGTTGAACCCAGAAGGTGGAGGTTGCAGCGAGCTGAGATTGCCACACTGCACTCCAGCCTGGGCGACAGAGGGAGACCCTTACTCAAAAAAATTTAAAAAGGTATAGAACCCATGTCACCTCTAGTGTAGCCTTCCGTGTCTCTTACCCATGCCTGTCTCCACTCCCGGAGACTCTTGCTGCATGAGATGAGAGTCCTAAGAAGGTAAGAGAGGGGTGGGGTTCGTATGGGTTCTCGTTTCTAATGAGAAGAAGAGAGGATGGGTACAGTGCTAGAAAGGAAGTGATTTCACATATGAAATTGGGCTGCCTAGTTTTGAATTCCTAGTCTGCTGCTTACTGTGTGACCTTGGACAACTAACTGAACATCTCTGCACTTAGCATCTTCCTCTGTCAGTTGGAGATAATGGTAGTACCTGTTTCACAGAGTTATTGTGAGGGTTAAAGAAAATAATATATGTAAAGTACAATATAATGGCTAAGAACATGCACTCCAGGCCAGGCGCTGTGGCTCACGCCTGTAATCCCAGCACTTTGGGAGGCCTAGAGTTAGAAGTCAGGATCCTCGTGACCCTTTGCCAGGGGAACCGTGACTGGTGGGGGCCCCCCAGGGTGCTTCTGGTATCTTGTTTCTTGATCTAATTTGGTGGTTACATGGGTGTACGTTTCATTGTGAATATTCAGCTCTATGCTTATAATTTATGTATTTTTATCTATGTATGTTAAACTTCAATTTAAAAATTGCATTAGATCAGAAGTCTTGAGAATTTAGGAAATGATAGGTCACTTTTTTCTACATGGCAGATCGACTTAGAATTAAAGATTTCATACTTAAAAACAAGGGGGACGGGTGTTCACTACAAGCTGCAAAATTAACCAGTCTTGCTTCTGATCTTAAATTGTGTCTTCAGAGAAGCAAAGAACTATGAAGAGCTACAGATAAGCACCTTGGGCAACATACTTTGAAGTAATCATTAGTTTTCATTTATCCTGCCACTTCACATACACTGTGACAGATTACATGGGCTACATATAAAGTTATATGTAAAAGTGTAATTTGGAGTTTGTGGAATCAGTCTTTTTAACTTTCCTCAGAGTGATACATTGTCATCTTGCAGACCAGATCTGGTGGTTTTAAAGTTTGATTGAAGATAAAGTTTCATGTGATCCAACTGTGAGATGTTAAGAGGCAAGTTTGAAGGTGCTTGAATGAGCATTAGTTGTAATTGATGCTTGTTGCTTTGACTGCGTGTTGGTTTGCTTGATGCTGTTTTAGTAACTTAGTGAGTTTCATCTTTAAATGGGATTTGTGTTACTTAGTCTGCATTGTGCCAAGACTGATAATTGAAAACCGTACACTTTCACAGAACATTGCTTCATAGCTCTTCCCTTTTCTGCTATTTTTATATCACATGAATCATTGCACATTTAAGCCATCTGCAAGGCCTGAATGGAATGAGATAAAAAGCTGCCATCACTTAAATTGACACTTGAAAAGCTGTTATTCATTTGGAGTTTATTCCTGATTATCCTTTATATTTTAAAGTTTCAAACTTCATTTCAAGATGGTTGCCAACATCTCTGAGCCAGAAGTATCTCTGATTCACAGCTTCTTTTAGCCTGAAAGTCAAAGGGAGGGGATGCATCCTGTCACCTAGAAGAATCTGTTGGGGACTCACTTCTATCTCATTTGAGAGAATAAGAACAGCAAGTTCCACTCCTGTTTTAAAAGTATGTTGGTTTAATCAGCTCAGCAAGCCATCGGGTTTGGCATGCACTTCATAGGGAATAGTAAAAACACAAGGCTCTTCGATTGCCAGATGAATACTTCAAAATTGCATGCCTAGAATGTGTCACACCTGTTAGATACTTATCAAAAATTTTCTCAACATAACTTTTTTGAGGATTTAGTGAAAAAAATAATTAGATAAATGCATGCTGGGATGTTGCAAAAGAGATTCATGATTAAAAATGCATATTCAGCCGGGTGTGATGGTGCGTACCTGTAGTGCCAGCCATTCGGGAGGCTGAGGTGGGAGGATCACTTGAACCCAGGAGGTTGAGGCTGCAGTGAGTTTTGATCTCGCTATTATACTTCAGCCTGGGGGACAGAGTGAGACACTGTCTCAATTGAAAAAAATAATAATAAAATAAAAATAAATAAATGCATGTCCACCCTTTGCAAGAGGCCTGGAGTGGGATCGCGCCCTCTGTGGAGTGGGTCGCCACCTCTGTCACGGTCCTCAAACCCTGCCACCGCCCTGGCCTAGGAGCCTGCCCCACCGCAGCGGCCGGCAACGCAGCAATCTGCCGGCGGTGGTCGCGGCCCCCGGGCCCTCTCACGGCAACCAGCTGCGGGCCTCCCGGGGCAAAAGCCCATGGGCCACCACCATGGCCCTCAAGATGGTGAAGGGCATCATCGACTGCATGTTCGACAAGAACCTGCAGGACTTGGTCCGCGGCTTCTAAAACCACAAGGAGGATGAGATTGAAGAAGAATGGGGATAGTGACCACCAAGCATCTGTCTTCATTGAAGGATGCCCATGCAGCCCTTGGGCAGTGGAAGCCTTAGAAAGTCTTCTACCTGAATGACTGCCTGACTGCCTGCCTGCCTCCCTGCGTGGACAGCAAAGGCTGGCCTGAAGGAGAGCAGCTGTCTGATACCGCACCACTCCCAATACCAGAGGCTATGTCGGGCATGAGGTGCCAGGAGGGCAGGGAGGTTAAGGAATTTGCCTGCAGGCACCCAGTCACCCTCAGCCCATGTGCCTCTCCGTGGGAACCTGAGTTCTTGCCTTATTGTTACACTTTTCCAGAAGTGGTGTGACTTCGCCTGCCTCTGGCCTAATGAGATCATTTTTGTTCATCTCCATCCCCTTTCCCTTGGTTTTCAGCATATCAGAAGCTCTCCCTAACTGCTTTGGTGACAATGTGTAACTAACTTATGTACTCTTCAGATTCTTTTGAGTTGAAGGCATAGCTGATTGGCCTGGATTTTATTTTACTGAGCGTGATTCACCAGATTGGAAATGTGGTTTGCTTCCTGGGAGGACTTTTTCTGCACAGGCAGGATCTCCCAGTGCCCGTCCCTGCCCGCTTCAGCGCATGTCACTGAGCAGCCTGTTCTGGCATCCTGAGGACGGGCCACGGGGTCTGTCCAGCAGAGGACCATGCATTGTAGTCTAGGGTGTGGTTTTCAGGGGGGTGTGCCTGTCTTCACTGGGAAGCCCCTGAGCCTGGATTTCTTCCTTTGGAATTGGTGTGAGTTGATAGTGCCTTCCTTACAGGCATGGGCCCATTCAAGCGGGTATTGGTGGTGGAAACATTTTTAGAGTAGTGTGGGGCCGTCCTTGAAAGTTCCAGGCTTCCTTGTGGGCCCTGCTATTGGCCAATCAGTGATTCCATGCAGGACACGTGGTGTCTGGGGGCCCTGGCTTTCTCATCAGAAGACCATCTTTATGGCCCGGAAGGTCATTATTCAGGTGTTCACTTCTGATTCCGGATGTTCTCTGCAGCTGCTGGAGTTTCCTGATTGGAGAACAGCAAATGACTGTTCAATGACCATTCTAGTGGTCACCCCCTCCACGCTGTGCCCCCCCAAACTCGCTTTTGAAAAGCAGCTACCCTGTAGACCTCATGTTGTAGGTTTTTCCCACCCACCACACCCAAAATGCAGACTCTTGGCGTGTGCTTTTTCTGCAGCAGTATAGTTTCAAAAAAAAGTTTTTATTTTGTAATATA
This sequence comes from Homo sapiens, assembly GCF_000001405.40. Classification (NCBI taxonomy): domain Eukaryota; kingdom Metazoa; phylum Chordata; class Mammalia; order Primates; family Hominidae; genus Homo; species Homo sapiens. The sequence continues at coordinate 104,399 of NT_187630.1, read as the reverse complement.
TTTTCACTTAAAACTTGAGTGTGGCATCATGGAAACAAGGCTTAGCAATGATTTTAAAAGCCACGTGGAAAGGCAGCGTGATTGAGTGGAAATCAGATGAAGTTTGGGAGATCTGAGTCCAGGTGCTCCGACTGGCTTAATGGGGTGGCCCACGGAGAGCTCCCTGTTCTGTCTCCTCCTGTGTAACATGGGAACATGGGATGAGTTGCCTCCCTCCTTGTGGAATGGTGCTGAGGATGCTGCAGCAAAAACGTGGTTTTCTGGAAGCACCAGAGTGCTCAAAGAGGTTGTTTAGTTCACTGTTTTCCGGTCCTCAGGCTGTGACCTCTTAGTGGGTTGTAAATTCAATTTACCGGGTTATGGTAGTTAAGAAAAAGGAAAACAAACTAGAAAATAACAGAGTGCAGGCACATACAGTAGCTGTCCTGTCTTGAAACTTTGATTTCTGCATGTGATTCTTGTGTGCATGTGTGAGCGTATTGGGTTACCATGCACAACCCATTAAAATGAGTGCAAAAAGTAAAAAATTAAAAAATAAATAAATAAATAAATGCATACCCACACTCATTTATACTCTTTAACTGTGGGTATGTGCAAATCTTGCATTTTTATGCTAATTAGCAGATGAGTCAGGGTCTCTAAAGCCTTTTCCAACAGTTAGATTCTCTCAATGCAGTTTGCTCTGGGCTGCAGAAGGTTGGGTTCCCCTGTACTAAAGTTAGCTGGAATTGCATAAGTTAGGGAGGAGAGTACAGATTTGTTTCAGAGTAAGAAGCTTCTTGGCCAGGCACGGTGGCTCACGCCTGTAATCCCAACACTTTGGAAGGCCAAGGCGGGCGGATCACAAGGTCAGGAGATCAAGACCATCCTAGCTAACAGGGTGAAACCCCGTCTCTACCAAAAATACAAAAAATTAGACGGGCGTGGTGGCAGGCACCTATCGTCCCAGCTACTCGGGAGGCTGAGGCAGGAGAATGGCGTGAACCCGGGAAGTGGAGCTTGCAGTGACCCGAGATTGCACCACTGCACTCGAGCCTGGGCGACAGAGCGAGACTCTGTCTCCAAAAAAAAGAAGCTTCTTCAGTTGTTGCTAGGTCTTTCCTCTTCATAAATAATATCATTATAATACTTTGGCAACATAGTAGTAGTAACTCTAGAGCTAATAGAGGGAATGAAATATAAAAATATTTCCTTATTTCATTTCCTTGAGAGAGCCTGAGATCATAGACCAAAAAATGAAGTGACCTCCATAACTAAGTACAACAGACTCTATTTTCAAAATAGAAATATCTTAAAAATAGAAAGTTCTAAGAGTCTAAGAATGAAGGAACTATTTTTGTATCTTCAGATCCTAATGTATCTCCATGTGATCTTGGGCAAGTCACTTAGTACTTCCGTGTTCGTTAGCTCCCATTTTGTTAGCATACTATAAATACTCAAAACACCAACATTTTGTTTGTAGACGGTAGCATTTAGAACATTAATAGCATCTTTGTGTTTTGTTGTTGCTGCTGTTGTTGTTGCTTTTGTCTTTGAAGGGACTACTGTGATTTTTGCTTAAACATACCCTGTTTGGGGATGATTGCTGTGGGGGGATAACTTTAATTATTTTAAAGTAATTGTGTATATTTTTCATTCTTTATTTCTTTGCTTAGCAGACAGAAGGTGGAGCACAGACAGACGGCCAGCAGTCACAGACACAAAGTAGTGAAAATTCAGAGAGTAAATCTACCCCGAAACGGCTGCATGTCTCTAATATTCCTTTCCGCTTCCGGGACCCTGACCTCCGGCAGATGTTTGGGGTAAGTCTCTGAAGTCTTTTTATGGATTTTACAATTAAAGTAGATTTTAATCCCCCAGATGTGTTATTAGTCATTATTACTTTAGGATTAAACTACAAATAGATTGAAAGAACCTGAGGTAAATCAGTCTTTTCATCAGTCTTTAGAAGCCTTTTTCTGTCATCCAGTCTGCTCTAGACATAGTCTTGCAGGTGGCTGCACACATAAGGTGGCGATATGACCCAGCTTGCTGTGACTGAGGGGTTTCTTGTGATGTGAGACTTTCAGTGCTGAAACCAGGATGGTCACCCTACTCACCTACCAAACTCAGTAAACATACCAATAATATGCTTAGTTTCATCTGCAAGAACAAACATGCACATTCTTTTAGAGCAATGATTCCTAAACTTGTTTGCACACTGGAAATTACCTGGGAAGCTTAAAAAATATTGATGCCTATGCCTGACATTCTAGGGTTGTGATTTAATTGGCCTGGAGTGTGGCTTGGGCTTTGGTATGTTTACAAAATCCCCAGCTGATACTAATGTGCACATAAGTTTGGGAACCATTGCTTATTCATCCTGTCGCCTTCTTTGTTTTTTCTTTACCTTCCATATAAGTCCAGCTCAATACTGCCTTCCTCTCCTCTTATCTCCCTCAACTCCAAGACCAAAGAAACTAGGTTCAGGGATGCGTTATTGCCACTCTCTACTTAGCTTTGTAATGTCTAAAAAGATTCACAATGTAGAGAATACAGGTTTAGAGGTGGCTTATTGAAGTGGAAAGAGTATAGATTTTGGAGTCAAAGAGCCTGGGTTCAAATTCTATTCGCATGTGAACTTTGGAATTCATGTAACCTTTTTGAATTTAAATATCATATTTATAAACATAGAGACAGTAATGTCTACCTTTCAGAGTGTTATAAATTAAATGAAATAACATTTGTGAAAACAGTACCTCAGTGTTTTGTTTTTATAATACGTTGTTGCTCATACTGCACAGTGTCAAGACCAATATCTAAAATCATTGTAGAGGATTGGTTTGCTACCTCTGATGTATTCTTTCAACTGTTTATTTCCTCCTGAATCACCATCATGAAAAAAAGTTAAATTGCAAAGATTTGAGTTGTTGGGAAGTTAGTGAATGGCTGCTAAGGATCTTAATTTTTTCTGAGCCTGCTTGTTATTGCTTTTTGAATTTGACCAAACTCTTAACCCAGAGATAATCAATAGTTTTTTTGTTTTTTTTTTTTGTTTGTTTGTTTTCTTTTTTAAATTCCACTAGGATAGCTGCCTGGTACTTTATTAGAAAAGCAGATGCTCTTCTTTAAGTCTTGGTTGTGGCCACTTCACGGTGACAAGACACTGGGGCAAAATTCTGTCATTTATAGCTGACTACTTGGATGTATTTTCCGCACTAAAGAGAAGGCCAGAGTTGAGATTTAATGATGTTCTTGAAGTATTTGAAGAGCTTTTACACAGAAAATGGTAACCAGATATTTTCCATTTTTTCTGAGAAGAGAGCAACAGAAAATAAAGGGCAGCATAAAGGACTTGGGTTACGCAGAAGAAACTTCTCGGGAGCATGAGTTATTAGGTTCTCTACTGAATTATTAGAGCTTATATAAAATCTTAGTCTCTGGAGGTCTGTGAGAATGGAGTACATTCTCATCTGCCAGAAGTGTGTTTTCTCTTGAGTCAGAGAAATAGTGTCCATTGCAGATCTGCCTAGGCCAGTTAGTGACTTCTTGAAATGTATTATGCCCTTCTCATAAGGCATAAAGTGCAAAAGAAATAATTTTTTCCTTACCAGAGATACCTAGTTGCTTTATTTTCTTCCACATTGTGACTCTCTGTTACTTAGAAGAACAGTAACGTTGGTAAAGAGCAGGCATCCATGCTCCATTTCATTAGCTTCATAAACTTGACAAATAGCTTCTTTTAGCCTCATTCGTCTTAACCATAAAAGGAGTGTGATCCTTACTCCAGAAGGATATTATAAGAATGCATTAGAAAATATAAAACAAAACAAACTCCAAAGCACCATACAAATCTTAGTTTTATAGGATAAGCATAAATGCCCTCCCATCTAAAATAAAACATTTTCCTTTTTCCGTGATTCTTCTATTAAACCAAACCAAGATGTCTTACTGTAGAAAACTTGGGTTATTAATACAAGTTTTTTGATAAAGATAGTAGGTGATTCAGTCCAATGGAACAGCATGATTTCTGTTTTGCTCTTTCCATTTTTCAGTTTTTTTTCACATTTCCCAAAGTCTGGTTTGAAACCCAAGTGAAGTAGATAATCAGGTATGACTCCAATACTCAGAGGGAAATATAAGCCAAAAAGATATCTGGAAATTTTCTGCATATACCTTCAATTCATTTCATCCAAGCATTGATTAAAACAGTTTTGTCTCTTTTTATATATACTTTCCCCCTAAATAATCATTGTGTTTTGTGTAACCCTCTAGTCAGCTATTTAGCTACCTAACAGTAGAGTTTAGGCTTCGTGTCTTTAGTTTTTGTTTGCTTTTCTGAATGTTAAAATGTTTAAAGAATTACCAAAGAGAGTGGTTATTTAAAATATTCTTGATGTTATTGTAGAAATATTAAAGTGGTGAATAGCATGTAGCCTATAGAAGTGGTAACACAGTTATATATTGATTCGGATAGTTGTTCACAATCTATTGCTAAGTTAAAAAATAAAAGCAATATATGCTTTGGCAGGCTGAGGCAGGCAGATCACATGAAGTCAGGAGTTCGAGACCAGCCTGGCCAACACGGTGAAACCCCCTCTCTACTAAAAATACAAAAATTAGCTGGACGTGGTGGCAGGCACCTGTAATCACAGCTACTCAAGAGGCTGAGGCAGGAGAATAGCTTGAATCCAGGAGGCAGAGGTTACAGAGAGCCAAGATCGTGCCACTGGACTCCAGCCTGGGTGACAGTTCAAGACTCCATCTTTTTTTTTTTTTAAAGCAAATTATAGAATGCATCTGATGTCTATAGTTACTTATCTCTACATGCCTGAGGGAAAGCCTGGAATGCTGTGTACTAAAGCATTACGATGATAGGATTGCAGATTATCTTTATTTTCTGTTTTCCCTTTTCCTTTTGTTTATATTTTCTGCTTTTTATATAGTGAATATACTTTGCTTGTGTAAAAAAAAGGAGGGTAACAGCCTTCTATAGTATATTATTCTACTTACTAGGATTTGCTTTTTAAATCTGAGACTGTTCTAAAAACTAAGAGATGTAGTTAGGAAAATTCCAGGTTCTTGTCCACATGAAGTATCTAATGGGCTAACACTGTGAATAACTTTGGACAACAGCTTCCACACACACAGGTGGATAAACTGTCAGCTCAGTGACGAGGAAAAATCAGAAACTGGTATTGGAACTTACTAACAAATACAAACATAGAAGTTAAATAAGTAGTTTACTGAAGAAGAAAAATAAACTATTCCCATTTCAGAAGATAACAAAATATGTGGATAAAAACCTGACCATAAGTAAACGTTTTTATTTTTATCTCTGCAGCAGTTTGGCAAAATCCTAGATGTAGAAATAATCTTTAATGAACGTGGCTCTAAGGTAAGCTCCATTTCAGTGTCAAGTGTGCTTGATTTCTTTTTGAGTTTTATGTTATTTTAAATAGCAAGTATTCAGAAAACATAAGCTGTTTTCAAGCCTGCATAAAAGTATCCTAATTATCCACCTTGGTTTAGATTATCTCTAAAAATAAGCTACCACATGGCCAAACTTTATTCTGATACTTATATGGGGGTGGAAGGGTGATGAAGTAAGAAGCAGAGAAGGTTGAGGGAAGAGTGGGACGTAAAGAACACAGGATGTAGGAGATGACAGTGCTTTATGAGCCTTAAATTCGGCCTCAGCTTTCTCCGTTTAAAGGAAAAGTGCAAAGACTAAATAAAGTGAAATTCTATGAGAATTCTATTCTGAATTCTATCAGAACAATTCAACCAAAATCCAACTTCAAAACAGCATACTTAGAACAAATTTAATGTTTTGATTATTCAGTTAACTTGCAGTCTCTTTTGAAAATTGTGACAAGACTTAAACAGAGTGAGCAATAACTGAGGAATTCAGTATGAACTGATTTCCTTAAGTTCTACCCACATAGGCAATCCTCAGGATGTAGAGTCACCTAAATCACAAATACAGTGAGTTAGTTTTTTTTGCATAAGAATGAAAGTAGTAAGTGTGTACTTTTACGTGTGTATTTTCCTCTAAATGTGTTCTATATAAGAACTGAAATTTTTAATTAAAATTTATTTCCCCTATTAGGCTGGGCGCAGTGGCTCACGCCTGTAATCCCAGCACTTTGGGAGGCTGAGGCGGGCGGATCACCTGAGGTCAGGAGTTCGAGACCAGCCTGGCCAACATGGTGAAACTCTGTCTCTGCTAAAAATACAAAAATTAGCCAGGCCTGGTGGCACACGCCTGTAATCCCAGCTACTCGGGAGGCTGAGGCAGGAGAATCACTTGAACCCAGGAGGCAGAGGTTACAGTGAGCCGAGATTGCGCCACTGCACTCCAGCCTGGGTGACAGAGCAAGACTGTCTCAAAAAAAAAAAAAAAATTATTTCCCCTATTTACTATTTTAAATTCCCAATCTGTATGATTTAGAATTTCCATGCATTAAAAGAAACAGCAATGTTTTTAAGAACAAGGGAATGGCAAAGACTTACAGTGGTGTTGTGAAAAAAAAAAAAAGTATTTGATGAACTGAATATTTGCACATGTTACTTGAGAGTTTTCTCACTGCTTATTAAATGAAATACATCCTACTGAAACCATCAGCCATAGCCAAGCCTATAAATATTTACCTTGCTGTTGCTACTTTCATTTGTTAGGTTAGAGCAATTTTTTAGTTAATTTTCATTTGGTCATCTCTGCTGAACTTTGAAAATAGCTTTTGGCTATGGTTAAATCTCTTAAACATGTAATTTGAGGGAAAGCTAAATAAAGCCAATAAATGAGCTAATATTTACCTCTCCAATTTCATACTCCAAATTCACCATACTTTGGGAATTGATAACAGAGTTTATATACCTCCTGTCCCCATCTGTACACTTAAAAATGTATGTGCTGTTCTAATGCTACTTATTATTATTCCCTTCCTTTGTAGAATGTATCAACACTAAAAGTGTTTAATCCTGACTATAACAATTATTTGTTAACTATTAAAGGGGTAATTATACTCTAAGCTTCCAGTTTTCAGTTAAAACAAAAATGATTAATATGCCTATACAGAACTTTCTCCAGCACTTGGTAAGTATTTTTTAAAGTGAAGTCTATTCAGACTGCAACCAGTAAACTATTTATGCTTATAATTTTTCTCACGATGGATTTCTGTTCCTTTGTTGCATTGTTTGTGTTTATTTTATGTGATCTTTTTTAGCTACAAGGTGGGAAAATGACAGTGGTTTAGAGATAAGAAGCACATGAATGTAAAATAAATATGTGGAGATTTTTGGCCACTCTGTAAACTACTATCTGAAGTAGTTTTAAATATTTTTAGTTGTTAAGTGTATGTACTTAAAATATTCTTAACTAGAATCTAACAACTAGAAGGCCAATGTAGTTTCATCAGGCATTGAGGACTTACTCCTTACCAAGAAAATAATTTGTTTGAATTATTGTGAAGCAAAGGAAATTGATCTTTCTTAAGGCTTCTTTCATTGACTTTAAGGATTTGCCTGCTACCAATTCTTTTTCTTTTCTTTTCTTTTCTTTTTTTTTTTTTTTTTTTTGAGGCAGATTCTCGCTCTGTTGCCCAGGCTAAAGTTGCATTGGCACAGTCTTGACTCACTGCAACCTCCGCCTCCTGGGTTCAAGCAATTCTTGTGCCTCAGCTTCCCGAGTAGCTGGGATAACAGGCGCACACTACCACCCCTAGCTAATTTTTGGTATTTTTAGTACAGACAGAGTTTCACCATGTTGGCCAGGCTGGTCTCAAACTCCTGGTCTCAAGTGATCTGCCTGCCTTGGCTTCCCACAGTGCTGGGATTACAGGTGTGAGCCACTGCATCCTGGCCCCACATTTTTTTAAATTTACCTGATCCAATTACTTCTCTCATGTAACTCATTTGAAAGTAATGACATGAGCTTTCTCTTTGAGAAATCTAAAAGCATAGGCTGCTTCTGTCAGCTTGATGCTGTGTCCTCACTGCCCCATTTTTCTTTGGGCTGCTAAAGGGTGCACAGACTGTGTACTAATTGGTAAATGTTTTAAAAACAAAGCATAGAATTCAGAATTGCCCTGAATCTGCCTTCAAGGACTGATACAAAACCTTGTTTTTGTCCTTTGAAGCTTTCTTAACTGCTACCTAAAGTTATTTGCTGGAATGGGTGCCCTTGGAACTGTTCTGAGGCTCCTAATAGAGATTTATTTTGGAATCAAACCCATGGATGCCTCCTCTGGGATCCACCTAAGAGAAATTAATGAGCACTTTTTGTTTTGTGAATTAAGTTTAGTTTCTTAATCCTTTTATATGTTTGGGGTTGACTGTAAAATTACAGCGTATTTTGAAAATAACCAGAGAAAAGGAGGCTTTATATAGTCCTATTGTTTAGCTAAGAGTTCCTCTAACTTTTAAACAGAGTGCTTTTCTGTACAGAAATTAGCTTTATTGAATTTTTTTAGAGCAGTAATGGAAAAACTAGTCACAAAATAACTCTAAGATAGCAATACTTAATGTAAAACAGGGTTTAATCAAATTGTTCCAAAGCAAAAAGCAACTCCATACCATATCTTATTTTGTATAATAAGACCATCACCCAGGGTTTTAGGATATACCCATTTGAAAACATAAGTAAACGGTGTTCCACTGCCATGCTCATGCCCTCCTTGTCTGCCAGTATTCTTCTTTTTCCAGCTTGCCTTTAAAGTAGAATTACTCTATAGTAGTTTTTTCTTAGTTGTTGACTAGTTTTTTCCTTTTTTCCTTCTTTTGCCTTCATATTCTAGATTTGGCTTACTTAGATTATAGAATGAATATATATCATATTTGTGCACACACGTGCATACATATATATTTAAATTATTTCATGTGAATTTTAGTCTTTTTACTCCCTAATCCTTTATAAAAACATAGAATCACCTGTATCTAAGTTTCTTTGATTAACTGAAACAGAGATAGACTAGGCTTTTAAAAATGTACTATTAAGATATATGATGGAAAGTGGTATTCCTGCCAAAAAATTAACTAATTTATTCATATAGAACCTAGAAAATTATTATATGAGTTTATGTAGCTTTGTTAATTCTCCAGATTTCACCAGTAATGACAGATTATTAACACAAATAATAAGATAATGCCTAGAGTGACCATATTTCCTGGCTTATCCAGGCTAGCCTCAATTTACACCTGTTATCTTAGCATAATTATTAATAAATGACCCCTTTCTCTCTCAGAATGTCCCAGTTTGAATGATAAACTATTTACTCTCCTTATATATGCTTTGGGTAACATCTTAAAAAAGCAGTCTTTGAAAAGGAAAACATGATGCTTAATGAAAAGTATAAAGAAAAAAATACATAGTTTATTAAAGAGAAATGTGCACTAGTGATATTCTCATGTATCCTTCTAGTCTTATTTTCTCATATAGAACCTTAAAACATAACCCAAAATGGTCACCTAGTTCAGCCCCCTGTATTCTTGACCTTGCATTCTCTGCTAGAAACTTTTAGTGATTAAGAACTTGTTTTATTCAAAAGTTATTCCATTGTGGGTCAGACTTTCTACCATCTTACTCACCATCATCCAACCACATAACAATTTTTGGTGATAATTATCAAGCTTATTAAATAAAGAAATACACAGATTGTAACATTTACATTTTCTATAAGTTTTTGCCAAAATACTTTGGTATATCCTCTATTGAATGGATATGTATTAAAATATTGAATATGCTGAAGTTGTTCAGCTCTTCAGATAGTGCTCATTATTAAGTCTACTAAAGGACTACAAATATTATACAGCCCAGCAATAATTATTTAGATTTCTAGCAATTTTTTTTCTTTTTTAAAAATTGATAGATATTAGATGTACATATTTTCAGGGTATATGTGATAATCTGATACATTCATATAATCAAATCAGAGTAATTGGGATAGCCATCACCTTAAATATTTATCTTTTCTTTATGCTAGGAACATTCTAATTATTCTAGCAAATGTTTACTTAATGTGTTCTCATTACTTCTCTCAGGTAGATTTCTGGAATAATGGGGATCTAGGTTTAGGTTGGGCTTAAGTTTAGGCTGTAGTTAGGGGAGATAAAACTTCTATTCCCATTCCTTAGACACAAGTAATTTGCTGTAATGTTTTCCCTATTATCATGGCTTTTAATTTCATGCAAAGGGAAATTATTTATTTCTTTCAAAATATTATCAAAATACTTTTTTGGAAGTCACAGTAAGTAGGCCTTTTGACTTTCAGTAAAACTTAATAGGTAATGTCAAAGTGAAATGGTTTTTATTATATTTAAAACAGAATTAACAGTGCATGTGTTTCTGAAGGGCTTAGTTTGTTTTTTTTTTTTCTTTTGTTACCATTATGGGCTTTAGTTTTATATTTTTTTTATTTATTTTTAAATTTCTGTGTTCTGGCCATACCCAGGAGATCTGTCTGCTTTTGATTTCTCCCTTAAAAGTTACATGGTAAATTTTCTTTCTCATTCTTCTGAGATCGAAAAATTCAAAAATTATACAAATTTTAATAATATTTTTACAATGTTCATTCTATTGCTAGTTATTTATTGCAGTCTGAGGCCAGACTAAAAAGGTGACAGTTACTTGGCTCCTATATGTCCTCGATGATGTAAAGGCAGGCTGTGAAATTGCTGTCACACTTTGTAGAAGTTTTAACTACAACCATACACCTAATAAATACACCATTCTTCAATTTCCAGAAGTCAGCTAAGATACCTGGTAAATCACTAATGTAACACTGGTGTGTTTAAATGTTTAATATAGAAGGGCTCTGAGGACTGCAAACTTAGAGGAGTATAAAGTGTAGAGACCTGCATTGCCCAGCACAGTGGTCACATTTAGCACTTGAAATTTGGAGAGTTTAAACGGAGGTGTGCCTGTAAGGGTAAAATGGACACCAGATTTCAGAATTAGCACAAAAAAAGAATGTTAAGCATCTCACTAATAATGTTTTAATATTAATACCATATTGAAATGTTAATAATATGTGTTTATATTGGGTTAAATAAAATACATTGTTAAAATTAATCTCACCTGTTTCTACTTTTTAAATGTGGTTATTAGAAAATTTTAAATTATATATGTGGTTTGTATTATATTTCTGTCTGCAGTGCTAGTGTAGACAAACATGTCAAAATCATTTTTTAATTAAAAATTAAAGTTTACTTTTTTAAAATCTGATTTTATGAATAGAAGTTTAGATAACAAAAATTCTCCATCTGTTTACATAGCTGAAATATTTCCTCTTGTTCAGAATTTGAGATTAAATCTGTTTGTTACAGATTATATAATCTATTTGTTACATATATTATACCGGTGTAGACTGGTTCAGTGTTTGATAGGTTGTATGATCATTTGGAAGCTGTTCTAAGGAAAATACTTTAGATTTAGACATAATTTTACTGACTTTTTTTTCCAAAGCAAGAGATCAGAATGACCAACTTAATGTCAATTCAATTTCTAAGAGTGAAGTGACAAAACATGAGTTCATGTAAGCAGACTTTTCTACTGATAACTTTTAAACCTGGATAATCTGTGAACATCTTTAGCACTGTTTCTGGCACCTTTTCTAAAATGCTAAATTTTATTGAAGAAATAGTATATTCTAAAAATATTTTAAGATCTGAGTTCATGTTACTGAAACTAAATTGTGAATGTGATAGATAAGGAAGCATGTTTGGGTTGATGGAAAATCACCTGTTTAAAGTTTAAACATGAGAGAAAAGTATTTAAGAACAGTACTTCAAAAATTCTAGTCATACCTCTCACTTTCCTAATCATGGACTTTAATTCTAAGAGGTATGTATTAATTCCCTATGACTTCTGAACAGATTACCACAAGTCGGGTGGCTTAAAACCACACATTTATTATCTTACAGCTCTGGAGGTCAGAAGTCCAAAATGGCTCTCACAAGGCTAAAATCAACGTGTTGGGTTCTTCAGGAGGCTCTAAGGGATCATCTGTTTTCTCCCCTTTTCTATCTTCTAGAGGCTGCCCACATTTCTTGGACTATAGCTCCCTTCTGTCTTCAGAGCCAGCAATGGCCAGTCAAGTCTTTCTCAGGCTGCTTTACTCTGATTCGGACTCTCCTGTGTCCGCTTTTCACTTATAAGCACAGTACAGTGGCCACGTTGGAACACTGTATTACATTGGGCCCAACTGGATAATCCAGGATAATCTCTCTATCTCAAGATCATTAACTTAATCGCATCTGCAAAATCCCTTTTGCCGTGTAAGGTAACATATTCACTGGCTCTGGGGATTAGGATGTGGACAACTTTGGGAAGCCATTATTTGGCCTATTGCAAAGTCTGTTTATCTTCAAAGCAAAGAAAGAAATCTTCTTACCTTTATGTTTCATATTAAAGAGTCCCAAAACATCAACAAGGCTTTCTTCCTCCTATCACCCCAGGGAAAAGATGCTTATAAAGATTGCTTTATTTTTATGTTTTTGGTATCTTGATTCGCATTTCCTTTGGTGTATAAGCATCTTTCTTTATAAAACACTTTTAAAACATTTGAAAGTGAAATTTTGTTCCAGAATGTTAGTCATTATTGAGAAAATCTTATCCAAGCAGACATGAATGTTAAACTTTGACATTTGCTGACTGTGAAATTGCAGTGCTCATCATACCACCTTCCATTCTTTTGGATGCAGTTATTGTATCACTAATGTTCTTTCAACACATTTCAGAAAAGAAGGTTATGGAAGATACTTAGCAATTAGATTTGAAAAAAGATAGAAGGATTTTAGGACTAATATAGTTTAGTAAATAGAATACTGAACTGAGATTTGAAAAGGCTTAGAATTTTCTCACCATTAGCTGGATATCCTTGGGTACTTAATCTCAGTTCGACTCAGTTTCTTTACCTTCAAAATGAAACCAATATGTCTATTCTTTTTACTTCATGGTTATATTTAAGAAGAAAAACTAGTATGTATATTTGTATGTGGGTGTGTAGATATAGTCATAATGCTAATATCAAAAACCTAGGTCTTAGTTTTCATATAACTTAATAGTAATCCAACTATTAATTTACAATGTATTAATTTAACCTAAGTCATAAAATATATGACTGTAAGGACCAGTTGAAATACAGCCAAAATGCCCTTAAAGTGTGATATTAAAACTCATCACTCTGTGACCTTTCTTTAAAAGTTTGACTTTCCTATTGGAGGACTCACTAGGATTAGAGAACTGGCAGCTTGTCTTCAGCAGGTGCTAGTGTAGATGACAAATGGTATAACTAATTATTAATGTGCCCTTTTATACCTTGTGGTGTCAAAGTGGCTATAAATGTTGATATCAAAATTTCATTTATAAAAATATGTTCCTGTTGATATTTTCAACAAACTTACACATTCTTTAGGAGAGTATTAACTGAAATTACCAGTAGTATTTCATTCCAAGCAACATACGTTTTAAAATCTCTATCAGCTTAGCATTTTGCTTTCAAGGGTATTTGTGATGTCCAAATTGTGGGTAGAGATCATCCATTGGAATTCTCCAAAACACCACCCACCCACATAATCACTTAGAATGCTGAGTTATCAGATCCTTCAAAACAATGGAGTTGCTTTTATAAAATTTTATTAAGCAACGCGCATTGTTTACCGTGTCAGTTAAGAACATGTTTTATATAGAGAGAATTGTGCTCATGTTATTAAGCAGCTAGGCAGAACTTCAGTTAAAATTAAAGGGTTCTGGGTTATCCTACAGTGGAATATTCAAAAAACGCTAGCAGGACAATGAAGTTATTGGCAAATGAAGACTTTGTAGAAAATCCTAAGACTTTACCACTTTGCAGATATAAGCAGCATGGAAATTATTTGTAAAATTATAGCTGCAGAGTAGAACGATAAGGACAGAGCACCTAGAATGAAGTGAATATGATGTTTTAGGAAAGTCATATAAGTATATAGTAAATGCTCCTGGTGTTAAAATTGGTAGTACGTGAACATCGGAGTGAAGGTAGTCAACTCCCTGGTCTCCTGATTTGTCTACTTAATGAGTTAAAGCTCCACTCCATTTTTATAGTATCTTGCAAGGAACAAACAAATTAATCCTAAGTCATTATACCAGCTGCATTGCTGTTTTCTGATATCCTTTTTCTACTGAATAGTGTACAACTGATGTCACTAATGTAGATCTCATTCCCATTGCCTGTTGACTGTTCCTTTTTTCTCTATATATAGAAAGTTACTACTACCTTTAATAGCAGGTATAAACATCAATAAATGAATAATTTAGGCAAATTTGGGTTAGCAGTTTTCTGAAATTCAGTTGAACATATTTTTACTCTAAGTGTCAATCTGGTCATTTAAAAAGGGCATTGAAGAAAAGTTATAATTGACCACTGCTTAGTGATATTTTTATTTGCTTAGAAGAGCATGAATGCTCTCCTCTCCCACACCCAGTACATAGAAAATTGTACACCGACTATGCCCTAAGTTATCCTGTTCCCAAAGGAATTAATAGTGATAAAAGCAACAGGCAACGTGGGGCTAAAATGATTAGACCTACTTTAAAAAAAATCTCATTATGCAATGTTGAACCTGAATGTCAGATTTCATGTAGCAGTTACTGGAAAATAATAGATTTGGGATGTCAGAGAGTCAATTTAATTAAGTCTTTTTTAGTATTACATAAAGGGGCATGTATATTAAATTAATAACATGAATTGAGAGAGAAAGGTAGGGCATTAAAAAATCTTCAGATTTTTGGTTGAATAGTTTGACCCGAGTAACTCTGTACCTTAATTTTGGTCTGGCCTCATATGCTTTATGTTTTATTTTATTATTGTTACATTGCTGTTAATTATTATTATTATTACAGTTCTTTATTCTTTTATTGGATTTAATTTCCCTTTACAAATATGCATGGACCAAAAATGTGACTTTGGGAGATTATTGCTGAGTTGTTGCTGATGTCAGTTTCATACTATGATATTTTTTCTCTATTTACCAAGAGATCAGTATTTCAATATAACGATGTGCATGTTTTCCCCCCTTCTCCCGCTGCATGCAGGGATTCGGGTTCGTAACTTTCGAGAATAGTGCTGATGCAGACAGGGCCAGGGAGAAATTACACGGCACCGTGGTAGAGGGCCGTAAAATCGAGGTGCATGTCTTTAATAATTCAATTTCTGGTTTATATTTTTATTTCTCTTTTTTCGTGTTGCCTCACTTAGTTCACATTTGGAACCCTGTCTTATGTGTGCGTGTGCACATGTATGTGTGTTTGTATCTCTGTCTTCTTCACCTTCTTGCACTAAAATGTATAAAAGTAACACTTCTATCTGCCTCCCTCCTCATTTATTGGTTGTTTGGGGGTTTTAATTTTGACTGTGTGTGTGTGCGTGTGTGTGTGTTTGTTTTTCATTTATGTTTTTCCTTCAAAATGTTGATCTTTCTGCTCTCTTGATTTTTTTCCTTTGCTTCAGTTTGCAATACTCTGAATTCCTGTGATCAGGCCTAAGCAAAACTAATGTTAAATTGTCTAAAAACTATCCAGTTTATAACACTGTGTTCTATAATGAATCAAGGGGCCAGCCAATATCCTCTCTCTTGGGAGGCCAGTTCGCCTCTTTGTGCACATGATAAGCACGAAATAGAAGATTCTAGAGATTGTGGGGAGGGAGGAAATAATCCAAAACTCGTGTAGTTTTTAAATATATCTAATACCAAGAATTTTGGTATCTAAATTTTTATGGATAAAATTCTTAAACAGAGGGTATGATGGCTGGCTGGCGAATGTACTGTGATTATGACCAAGTCTACCGCCTGGTATTCACCAGCCCTTTTTGATAACACATCGAAGGTTAACTGGCTCCTTTCCCCTTTCCCAATTTTTTAAAGTATTAAATGTAAAAGCCACCATTTTGAGTAAGATGTCTGCATATTTTGCTTTTTTTCCCCTCCTTTCCAATGGTTTAGCATTTAGGGCCCTTCACTTGACTCACTCTTTCCATGGTAACTATACACAATGCTGGCGATGGTGCCCGTTGGCGGTAAGTGAACAAAAGCACTAGAGAAGAAGCTTTTAAAAATGTAATTACAAAACAATTAAATAAGAAAGAAAAAGTCCATCTGCCATCTCACATTAACACTACAAAATGTGATTTGACTTGTTGTTCCTCTTCCTTTTCCTTTCCCCCTTTTATTTTCAATGCTGTTGAGTAATGCCGCCTGGATTTTGGATGTACATATTGTTTTGTAGCGGTCTGAGCTGTTTGATTACTGACTTCATGGTGATTTTTTTCCCCTTGCACATCTTACTCAGAGTTACTGAACTCCAGTTTGGCTGGTTTTATTAATGCACTTCCTGCCCCTACATCCTTCCCTACTTTTCCTGTTTCCCAAACCCCCGTTTGTAGCTCTGACTGTTCTTTCTTTGCCCGTTACACCCTTCCTGACTTTCTCTTTTCTTTTTCCCTACCTTACTCTCTTTTTCCGGATCCTTGTTCCTGTCCCTTTCCCTATTCTTCCTTTCCCATCCCTTCAGTTACACGCAGCTGTTGGTCTCTTTTGCTGACTGGTGGTTTCTGATTGGTTCTGGCCATTTTTCCTTTTAAGTGCTTGGTTGCTTTCTGCTCCAGCAGCTGGTTTCAGCTCTTGCTCCATTCTAATCCTTGTCTGTGAGAACCTTGCTTTTCAGTTTCTCCCCTCTTTCCAAAATTGATTGTTTTTTCTTTCTTTTATTTGTGTGTGTGTGTTTTTTAACTGCATGCTCTCAGTCTCATCATTGTTGTATCCCATTCTTTCTTTTTAAATGTGAAACGTTTATATTATTTGGTGGGCGAAGCTAGAGTAAATGGAGTTTCAAGCTCTTTCCTCATATGGGGGATTATCACTGTACAAATCTTAAAAGACATAGGAAGAGGTTTTTTTTTTAGTTCTAATTCTACCTAAAATTGGTCTTTTCATAACAAAAATTTATTACCATACAAATTGAACACAATGTAAATTTGAAGAGGCAAAAATAAGACATTTATATTTTATGCTTCTTTTTTCAATTGGCATGTTTTATGACCTGACAACACAGTATAAGTCAAGTTCTATGGTGGAGCTTTACCCTCCTTGCAAGAGCTTTGAGACTGGTTCTGTCACTGGGCTGCAGTATGCTGACATCTTAGTTCCATTCATCTTTTCTTCAGCAGCAGCATCTTTGTAACACCTACTTACTCTAGCACTGAGAATGCTTTAAAATATGCAGTTCTGTAATGAGGGTGGAGAGTACCATAAAACAAAATAAATAAACACTTTATTTTCTCAATTCTTTTAAGTGCCTACTTTAAAGGCTTTCTTAAAAGCTTTGTTCTTAAATTGATAGACCATGTAGTCTAGAAAATTCAGAATGGTCCTGAAGGCTGTCAGCAGGGGAATCTTAGGTTTCTATATTTGTTTACTTACCTCAGACAGTAAAAATCTCTGACAGACATATTTAAAATGCTGAACATTAGGACAGGTGAAATCAGATTTATTTTATCACCTTTCCATCAATCTATTTCATAACCCATGTGGCAAGCCTCTGTTTTATTAACAGACTTCAAAGTGAATTGCTAATATAGTTTCCTATTTACTTTTTTCTGTGTTTTCCTTAGTGCAGAGATTTCTCTGTTAAAAAGATGTCCAAAGATCTTGCAAATGTATTTTCTTTGGAGTACTGATATTTGGAAACCAAGAAACTCACTTTACTCTTGTTATCCTCATTTGATAAGAACTTTAATTAAAATACTATATATTAATATTTTATATTGCTGTGTTAATTATTTAAATCACTGCTCTCAGAAATTTACATTTTAAACTAAATACTCTGTTATTGGATGTGCAACTTTATGTTCCCTAATGTGGTCCACTTCTTCCCTGCCCTTTTTTCTCCTTGTTATTTTTAGGTGAATAATGCTACAGCACGTGTAATGACCAATAAGAAGATGGTCACACCATATGCAAATGGTAAGAAATTATAATCTTCGAAAGAGTGTTTATTCTTGTGTAAATATATGAAGTTTTTATAAACTTCTAAGAATGTCTTTATTTCCGTCTTAAGACAGTTTGATTTGTGTTGAAGTAGTCTCTTTACCTGGGAGAGTATTTTATTTTTACAGAATAACTTTGTCATTACAATTGAGCTAAGTTTTTAGTTATTAAGGTGTTATGTTCTAAGTAATGTTCATCTTTTACACAGTGCAAACATGCTATCTAGTTGCCTATTAACCCAAATTGGATCCCACCTGAGCACCTTCTTTTTCAGCTGCTGTAGCTCTTTCTAATATGTTAGACTTGTCCGTAATACCCCTGGATGCCCACTGACTCTTACTTTTAGTTCTGACTTTCATTCATCTGAGCATAAGTGGAATAAATTAGGAGGATATTTTAATCACTTTTATAATTCTGGACCTGTTGCTCTCCTTAGCCCTAGAGATAACAGCCATGGGTATGGTTGTGTGTGTATCATTTTCTGTTTCATGATTACATATTATATAGTAAGGTTTATAAGTTTTTCTCATTGAGAAGGAAATTTTCTATGAATAATTTGTTACATCAGTTACCAAATTTAATCTAGACTCATGGTCTCTGAATGAGATGGAATATAAATTTAATCTGTAGCCCAGTGGTGGTTTTGCAGACTGTTCTGCAGAGCCAGTTTGGGAGAGAAAAAGGAAACCAAATGGATTGAATTCTGAGGTCTCAGCTGTACTTTAGTCTGAGCAATTAGGGTTCTGCATAAGCTTTTACTAATATCTAGAATAAAGGGGGGAGTTTCTGCTGGAGTTTTTTTTTTTTTTTTTTTGAGACGGAGTCTCGCTTTGTCACCCAGGCTGGAGTGCACTGGCGCAATCAAGGCTCACTGCAAGCTCTGCTTCCCAGGTTCACGCCATTCTCCTGCCCTCAGCCTCCCGAGTAGCTGGGACTACAGGCGCCCGCCACCACACCTGGCTAATTTTTTGTATTTTTAGTAGAGATGGGGTTTCACCGTGTTAGCCAGGATGGTCTCAACCTCCTGACCTCGTGATCCGCCCACCGTGGCCTCCCAAAGTGCTGGGATTACAGGCGTGAGCCACCATGCCTGGCTCTGCTGTTTTTTTAAAAAGTTTGAACCCACTGCTAGAGTATGGCTGTATGTGCTAATAATGTCTTAAATCAAGGAGAAATGTATCCGTATTGACTATATCCCATAAAGTCTTCAATAAATATATTTAGCCCAGCTTTTCACATAGATGATACAAATTTATCAGCATAATTTGCATTTTTCCTTACTCCTTTTATCGGTATGATACCACTGCCTCCCACTTTACCTCTTATTTTCTTTTCACTGCTCTTACAAAAACAAGTCTCTACAATTTTGATAAAAACTCAAAGTAAACAAAATAGAAAGGAGAGGCAAAGAATGTCAAATTTTCTTTACATCTAAGGGAAATATTGTGACAGAAAGAGCCTCTGACTGGAATTCAGAAAACAGACGTTCTCCTTCTAGGTTTGACTCTTTATTTACTCCGTGACAGTGGACCAGTTTTTTAACCTAATTCTGTTTTCATATTTATAAATTGAGACCACAGATTTTTGGCACCAGGATTTTTTAAGAAATTATTGAAACTCAACCCTCCCAGCTTATTATTAGGAAATGAGACCCAGAAAAGTATAGTATTGACCTCAGATTGCAGATGTGGTATCTATTTTACCTTCCTCTTTGGGTTTTGTGAAGGTCAAAGGGCATCTGTGAAAATACATTGTAAATTTTCTAAAACTAAATATATTCAAAGTATTACTAACAACATGTCAATATACATCCATTATATTGATTTTTGTTTTTGTTTTGAGGCAGAGTCTCTCTGTCACCTAGGCTGGAGTACAGTGGTGCGATCTCAGCTCACTGCAACCTCCACTTCCCGGGTTCAAGCGATACTCGTGCCTCAGCCTCCAGAGTAGCTGGGATTACAGGTGTGTGCCACCACATCCGGCTAATTTTTGTATTTTTAGTAGAGACGAGGTTTTGCCATGTTGGCCAGGCTGGTCTCGAGCTCCTAGACTCAGGTGATCCCTCCGCCTCAGCCTCCCAAAGTGCTGGGATTACAGGCTTGAGCTACGGTGCCTGCCCATTATGTGGATTTAAAGGGAATGCTCAGGCAATAGTGGCATTGGTAGGAAAGAAAAAGGTTATTTTTTAAAATATTATTCTAAATTAATATTCAGGTTTAGTAGGCAAGAAACCTTCTGCTATTGTGTTAAAGGTCCTAAGAAGAATTTGTTGGGTTCCTCCTAATGAATTCTCAGTCAGCATTCTCATTTAGGTTGGTTGGAATCTCTTAATTTGTGCAGAAATGTTGCACAGTATTTGTGTAATTTGATGTTGCAGAATATTTGTGTTCTTACAATTCAAGTAGGATTTGAACCTAGATTTTGCCAGAATTTTATGTGGAATATTGAAGAGACATTGCATTTTATGAGCACATAAAATGATGAATAAGAGATTGGATTGAATCAGAGTGAATAGGTTTTCACTTGAATAATGTCTTGCTTACAGTCATTTAAATCTGGTAATTTCAATAATTCTTTTGAAAAGGCCAATTGTGGCTGGACGCAGTGGCTCAAGCCTGTAATCCCCAGCACTCTGGGAGGCTGAGGCGGGTGGATCACCTGAGGTTAGGAGTTCAAGACCAGCCTGGCCAACATGGTGAAACCCCATCTCTACTAAAAGTATAAAACTAGCCAGGCATGGTGGCACGTGCCTGTAGTCCCAGCTACTTGGGAGGCTGAGGCATGAGAATCACTTGAACCCAGGAGCCGAGGTTGTGGTGAGCCGAAACTGCGCCACTGCACTCCAGCCTGGGTGACAGAGCAAGACTCTGTCTCAAAAAAAAAAAAAAAAAAAAAGAGGAGGCCAATTCTGGCCTTTTTCTTTTCATTCGTATATTTATAGAATAGTGTGGCACAATGCTAGGGTCTTAATATAAAAAGACAAATGAGTCAGAAAATATATAATATAGAGTATTTTTGCTTATATGTAAAATTCAGTTAATATTGATTAAAGTTTTCATGTGGAATTCTACTTTTATTCACTCGCAGTGAGCAATCGTATATTATTCCTTTTTAAAAAATACTTGCCATATTCCTATAAATATAAAAAAGGGAAAGAAGAAATAAAGTTGACATTAAACATAATGTTATTTGGAAACTCTTAATATTTATAAATATTTAAGCTAATGTTCCACAGTATTCTGGTGTTCTTTAGCTAAGAAGTCTGATTAACTTAAAGGTGATTATTACACATTAAAGCCTCAGAAAACATGCACTGAAGTTGGGAATGTACCTTGAATTTTACTATTTCATGTCTTTCCTTTTTTAGTTGGTGAACCCCAGTAAAATCCCAATGGTAAATCCGAGTAAAAGTGGATTTCAGTTTACCTGGAATACCAGCATTGTATAGCCAAACATGGAGTCAAAGATCTAGGTTGAATTTGAGTTCAGCCCATGGATACCTTTATTAAAACAACTAGAGTAATAAACAGGGTTGAGAAAATGCATCACAGCATGGTTCAGAGTGACATATAGTCGGCCTTCTTTTTTTAAATGAAGGATAGGTCATCCAGGGTAATTCTGTGAGAACACTTTACCAAACTCTAGGATTTATTTCTATTTATTTTTTCTCCTCTCATTCCCTCTCCATCTTCCTCCTCCCAACATCATGACACCTGCCAAGCCCCCCAGCCCCAGCCCCTCATTATCTCTTCACTGTGTCCTAGTTCTACTACTGTTACTCTCTCATATAAACCCCAAGCTGGAATTCCAAAGAGAAGTTGATAATAGGCAAAAATAGCCCCAGAGATGGCTGAAGCCAACTTGACATGCACTGATCATCCCTTTCCTCAAACAGTCTTAAATGCTTACCTTCCATTTTGTGTGTTTCAGGTTGGAAATTAAGCCCAGTAGTTGGAGCTGTATATGGTCCGGAGTTATATGCAGGTAGTATTTAAGTAAATGTTTCCACTTGTGCTATTTAATTGTAATAGCATCTGCTGTTTTTCAATTTGTGACTCCTTTTTAATCTTCTTGCATTTTTAAATTTTTTAAAAATCCAATCAGCATCCAGCTTTCAAGCAGATGTGTCCCTAGGCAATGATGCAGCAGTGCCCCTATCAGGAAGAGGGGGTATCAACACTTACATTCCTTTAATCAGTAAGTAGCCTATGTTGGCCTGGCATGGATTTTGACTGTTGTGAGTGAACTATCATGTACTGTTTTTTTTTTTCCTAGTACAGTACATAACTGAAATGGAAATTTCTTGAGAGGGATATTAAATACTATCCCAGTGCCCTGTCCTGCTTAACCTGTGCTAGAATTTTCCTGACCAAATATTAAGATTGCACAAAGCAGAAATAGTTGGAAAAGGTAGAGGGGGTAAGGGCATATGAAGAATATTTTAGTCTGTACTTGACGATAAAGAAAACAAAAGAAGCAAGTATGTGTAGAGCATATTATACATTTCCTCTGCGAGTCAGCCACAGGTTCTCCAGCAGAGGATCACTTAGAAGTACTTCCAGTATTATTGATTATTCCCAGCTCTCTTGATCTCTCTAAGTCATTTTGACCTGAGCCATTTTACTCCAGCAAGAGGTATAATTAAACAGGATTCAGTGGACATGGAATCAATGTCTCTGCATGCTTTCCAGAGGACAGCACACTTAAAATAGGCTCTTAGAAATTGTCTGCCTCTTTAAAGGATATGAGGCCCCTAGAAATTGTCTGCCTCTTTAAAGGACAGGGTAGGAGTTGTTTCCCTCACCTTACATTTGTGGATTAAAATGTTTTAAATAAAAGAATGAAATTGACTAATGAAATGAAATGTCTAAAGACTATTATGTGCCTTAGAGGTTGGTACCATGTAAAAATATAAAAAGAATGTTCTTTTGAGTAATAATTATTATGTGGACATAGTAACATTGGGAAGCAAGGTTAATAACTGACCGGTTGAAGAGTTTGTGTCAATCTGATTTAGACTGCCCACAGTAATTAAAAGTCTGTCTCTTATTATGGCAGTCATTCTCAGAGCTTCTTGACCTGTTTCTCAGCAGCTTGCATTGTAAAGCTGAAATTGAGAAGGAACAGAGAAGCTCACTCAAGATTTGTGATGAATGAGGCATGGAATCTTTTGCTTTTGCATGTTGGGTCTCTCTTTCCATTTCTTCCCCACTGAGAGACCCAGGGTAGAACGTTTATTGAATGCATGCCACCTTTTCCAAAAAGGTGTGGTTCGTATCTTTCCATCTTTTCTATAATTGGTTCATAGCAAGTTGTGACTGTGCACCTTCTATTGAATGCAAGTTGAAATTTCTGTCATATTTTGGGTCTCCCTTTAGTTCCTGGCTTCCCTTACCCTACTGCAGCCACCACGGCAGCCGCTTTCAGAGGAGCCCATTTGAGGGGCAGAGGGCGGACAGTATATGGTGCAGTCCGAGCGGTACCTCCAACAGCCATCCCCGCCTATCCAGGGTAAGCGTTAGATTCCAAAATCAGTATGTTTCTAAAATAAGCAGTTGGACCAAAAAAGAATACCATGGCCCTTTCATAACTTCTGGGATGTTGCCGTGTCACAGAGTAGGCATTCAGTGAATATTTGCAAATTAACAGATTAGATGACAAAAAACAAAATATACCATCATCAGAATGTGACAAACTGTCAATTCATTATAAGTCTTCATTTTGGCCACCTTAAGCCCTCATGGTAATGGCTTAAGACAGTAGCCAGAACCGTCTTGTGTTTACTAGCAGTGTGTTGGCATGAAGTTCACTCAGAAGCGCACGAATATGGATTAACATTACTGCAGAGAACCAAAAGAGGAGCTCAAGATTGTAGTACAAGCCTGCATCTGCTGTGTTCACCTCCTTATCACCACCCCGTGTTGGGGCAGAGGCTGTCACATGTGTCCTCCCCTTTGGTTTCACTGCCTGGGTGGTGAGCAGCAGAGCTAGTTACCCACAATGGATTTGCTTTCTTTGTAGGAAACGGATTAAAAGAGGTTAATTCTAAGATGAACCAAGTCCAATTGAATCAAGGGAGAAAGGGAGAAGTAGGAAGAATTAAACTGCAGTTGGCTTCTGAATGATGGTAAAACAGCGACTGTAGCTGAGCATCCTTCACCGTTTGATTTTTTTATGGAGGGTGTCTCATGCAGTGGAATGATTCCATAGCAACAAATAAATCCTTTGCTACTGAATGGGGAAAAGGAGTGAAGATGGCAGGTTTTGTTTTTAGGGGTTTCTCAGTGTCAGCCTAAAATGCAAATTTTTATAGAGTGGTCTTTCATGAGTCAGTTGTACCAAGGACTTCCTCATCAAAGATGTGACATTTCTCTTCACCTTTTCTCTGCCAGATAATGTCAATATGACATATTTTTTTTTGTATTCTTACGGAGGAATAAGTAGCAGCAGAGAAGCTTGTTGGCTGCTACTTAGTTAAAATATAAAGGGAAGGAACCTCCTTTGTATGTCCTTTTCTGACAGCAAAATTGGCTTAGCCTTGAGGTGTACTAATTTAGCATTCATTCATTCATTCATTCATAGACCAAATGGATGTACCATTAGAAGTTCTCCATTCCACAGAGTTAAAACATTTTTATTAGACAAGGTATGTTGAAGTGGGCAGGCTCCAAAAGACACTGGAAGGGAACTGCTTCAGAAATTAACTTTTGTTTGGAGTTTGTAGACATTTAAATCACATGCATTCCATCATCTCCATCTTATGCCATTACTTACTTTTATTTTAATCCTTTTTTCTCTCAACTTGACCTTTGACCTTCAACCTCTGACATCTCTTTAAAGAAGTGAATATGCAGTATTATTTCATCAAGAAATACTCAAATGAAACATTAAAAGGAACCTTTTGGAAGTTTTACACACTAGGAAAATTGTTTGTGAAATGTCTTCCGTTGTAATCCAAGAGAATTTACTGTCATATTTGCAAAGAGAGACTACTCACCAGAAACATGGGACTTCCTTATTTTGTAACATTGCTGAATTACTTTATAAAGTGGTTGAATTTAGTCCTGTTCAATGTAGTCGTTTCAGTATATTGACCAAACTTGAGAACCCATTCTCTACCAAGTCTGTGTCAGGTATATATTTGCTCAAAGATATTTTATCTTTATGTCTAATCATATCAATTTCTGTGCATTACATTGAACACTGATTTCCCATGTTTTCTTTTTATTAACTAAACCACCTGTTTACATGGAAGATGGCAAGGAATAAGTCCAGTATTTCATGGGAATGGCCTAGAATTGCTTTTCAGCTTAGTAAACTAATTTCATCATTAATCATTACGTTTCTAGCCTCCTTGTGGCATTTGATACAGGGAATATTGGGATTCTTCTAGAACGTAGATGAATATTCCCAATAAGTTATTTGACTTAGGGTAAAATGTATTCGTGTTTTTAATGCCAACCCTTCTTTATAGAAGGCTTATTTGTAAATCTTTGCCTATATCCCCTTACTAAGATCTTTGAAGTTTAATTAATCACCACTTGGTCTCAGTGCTTTCCATTTTATCAGCCTTCTCATTTTGAACAAGTTGTTTTTTTCCTTAAAATGCAGCTGAGAGGCAGATTACTTTCTAATATCAGACTTTAACTGCAACTGGAGACTATGAAAATGAATGGGACTTAGCTAAATGAACATCAGAGATGAGTTTGATTTGCCTTTTGTGTGATACAAGGGCATAGCATATTTGGGGCATTCCAAAATGTGACCATGCTATCCTGTAAATACAACCAAATGTCATTGGAAATAGAATTAAGAAACATTCCACCTACCTATAAGAAATAAGTTATTTCATATTCAAGTTAAAAATATGATTTGATGACTTTACTTGTCAGCTTGTTTATTGTAACAGAGAAGGTAGTGGTGAAAATTTCCAGCTTGTTTAGTTGAATAACCAATAAACAGATCATCTAAATTAAAACAATCTGATCTTGACTTCACAGAGATGAAGAAGAAAGTTTTATCTTTTATCTCTACTGCTATTCCATGTCCTTTGGTCCCAAAATAATGTTTTGGGGAAAGTCTGTATAAGTCTGTATGCACAAAGGTACCTCAGAAGGTTGGAAATCTATACTTAAGAATATAGTGTTGCTTAGGTTTTGTTTTTTTTTTTTTTTTAAAGTCATGCATTGTCTGTTTGCTACAAATTCATTATCTAAACAGGAAAATAAACCCTTCTATTCTTAACCAGCTACCTTCTCAGATGTATTCTTTTAAATAAGACAGGGTGATCTTTGGTCAAGCCCAGAACTTCAGTTATCAATTGTATTTTTCAGAATTCCATGAATACTCTTATAGTCAAAAAAGAACCCTTAAAATCTTCCAGTTACTCCTTCCCACTCTGGATTATATTGTTACTATCTGGGATCCCCACTGCACCTTTCAATTCTTGGACCTTGGACCAATCACCTTAACCTTTAGCTCATTATCTCTGCTTGTGAAAGCAATGCATTGTGGGTATTTTTGGTTGTGTTTTTTTTTTAATTACATTTCTCTGTTTACTTTGGTCAGAATTGATTGACTTGTTTTTCTGAGGTGTTGCATTGGTTCTTAAAATGCTGAATAATAATACTTTGCATGCTTGTGTGATCAGCCAAATCTTATCGCATGTCTAATGTGCAGGGTAAAAAGCAGGTGATGTATGGATATCAGAAAAACATTTACATATTATTACAATACTGAAAACAAAATACTTAAACGTAATGTAAAAACATACTTTGCATACAGGCCCTGCCCTAGTGGAATTCTTTGGGTTCAGTTTTTCATGTTAAACTCCTCTTCACCCCTACCCTACTTTGTAAGCTCTTTAAAAAGAAACTTCCTCCTAGGGCAAGCTTATTTTTAAAAATACTCCATATACAAAAAGTTATTTCCAAGCCAGCAGATTTTGGATAGATATAATAGGCTCTTCTAGGAGTGCTTTTTATTGTGTGAATCCTACTTTAATTACCAAATATCCAGGTTGCGCATTCTAGTTTTGCACACCTTTCCCTCTCCTCGCATGTCCTGGAGCTGTGTAACCTTCGTGTGCACTTTCACATTTTCTCACCAACTTGCCGAGGCCCCAAGCCCAGGTTATGTATTCATACATCACCTGCCTGTGTAGAGCGCATGTGCATGCTGCCGTCCTCAATAACCGGAATGTGTTTCTGTTCTTTTGTTTTTTTTGTTTTTGTTTTTGTGTGGATTTTCTGCAGTGTGGTTTACCAGGACGGATTTTACGGTGCTGACCTCTATGTAAGTACACACACTGGGGCCTTCTCGACCCCATCCCCTGACAAGCCAGCCTTTTTTTTTCTGTTTCTTTGGTTTGGTTTGGTTTTTTTCCTTTTAATTTATTTAATTTTTATTTTCTTTTTCCTTGTGGATATATATATATATATATTTATATATTTAAGAATGCAAGCATGCTTCTCTGCCACTGCGCTTGCCCCTGGGTGCAAAAACTAAGCCTTTGGGTTTCCTGATCATTGCAAGGGTCAGTCTACTGGACATATTCTTTTCCCTTCCCTATACCCACAGATGTTCTGTGGATCATTAATTTACTTGTGAGATGATCAGCAGGTTTAAAGTCTTTTATTATTGTCGTGTCATTTGCATACATAAATAACAGGACTAGCTTAACCTTAAACCAGCTCTTTCCCTTTTCTGCTTTTCTTCTCATTTCACATCCCTCTTTAGATCATTAGAGCTGTGATTTAGAGGTTAATAAGCTTTCTGAACTGTACATTTTCCTATTTTACCTACTTTGAGAGAACATGACCTTGTGATAGCCAAATAAGGAACCGATGCCAGCAAAGAGTGTGTAGTAATGAGAAAACGCCAGATATTTAGTTCTTAAAAGCCATTGGAGGAAATGAGTAGCATAATCAGCAACCCAGACTCTTCTTACAGCTATTTGACTATCATAGATTTGCTGACTCTACTAGCCATAGTAATATGGACTCCATTATTTAAACTGTCTAGCTATCACTAAAGTTCCATGATTGGTTTGTCACATATTATTTAAAATGTGGACAAAGTGATATAATTGACAAAGTACAAGTTTTTGAGTTTTGAAGTCTTTTATCATGACCTCTCCAGATGGACTTTTTCTGAATGCAAGCTTGATTTAGTCGCTCAAGTCATCAAGGGAAAATTTTTATAAGAAAAACTTGTCAGCATGAAATGATTCTGTGGGGATAGGTTAAAATTGTCTAGAAATACTTTCTCCACCCTTACTTTCCAAAATCAATAAGAGGTCCTTTTTAGTGAACTGTTTCCACAGTCTACCAGAGATTCACAAGCAACCTAAAAAAGTTAATGCACTTTCAGAATGCACTCAGAGGTTTTGCGTTTTGCAGGAAGTAGAGATGGGATGATACAGTTCTTCGAAATACAGGTGACTCACCTGTACTACTTAGCATAGGCCTGTAAGGTATGCCTTAATTTAATAACTACTTGAAGGAACCTCAGCTATGATTTGGTCCAACCTCCTAACTTACAGATATATTTCTCAGAGACTTACCCAGAACTACATAAATTATTAATAGTCAGGCATAAAACCCAACCAATCCATATTTCATTACCTCTCTTTGTACTTTAATTAAAATCCACCTCTTTCCTCAAAATATTTTCAACAAGTAATGAAAGATATCTTTTTTCCTATGTTCACAGTGAAGCTTGAGAACTGGGGAATCTCCTACTTTTACACCAGATTACATATTTCTAAATACACAGACTTACATATGATGTTAGCATGTACATTCTCCCATATACATTAGTGTCCATATTCTCATGAAACTCATCTTTGTTATTTAACTTGTTTTCTTGAAATCTGATCTATTAGAACAAGATTTTCCATTTGAGTTATTTCTTAAATCAAGTTTTTTTCTCTAATGTGTTTCTTATTTGAGGATTTATTTTTCTTAAATACAACCTATTTATGTCTTATTAAGACTTGCCTACTTTGGGCCGGGCACAGTGGCTCAGGCCTGTAATCCCAGCACTTTGGGAGGCCGAGGCGGGCAGATCATGAGGTCAGGAGATGGAGACCATCCTGGCTAACATGGTGAAACCCTGTCTCTACTAAAAATACAAAAAATTAGCCAGGCGTGGTGGCGGGCGCCTGTAGTCCCAGCTACTCGGGAGGCTGATGTAGGAGAATGGCATGAACCTGGGAGGCAGAGCTTACAGTGAGCTGAGATCGTGCCACTACAGTCCAGCCTGGGTGACAGAGTGAGACTCCGTCTCAAAAAAAAAAAAAGACTTGCCTACTTTGGCCAGGCATCATCGCTCACGTGTGTAATCGCAGCACTTTGGGAGGCCGAGGCAGGGGGATCACTTGAAGTCAGGAGTACGAGACCAGCCTGGCCAAGATGGCGAAACCCCATCTCTACTAAAAATACAAAAATTAGCCAGGCGTGGTGGCACACGCTTGTAGTTTCAGCTACTTGGGAGGCCAAGGCAGGAGAATCACTTGAACCCTGGAGGCAGAGGTTGCAGTGAGCCGAGATTGCACCACTGCACTCCAGCCTGGCTGACAGAGCTAGACTTCGTCTCAAAAAAAAAAAAAAAAAAAAAAAAAAAAAGACTTGTCTACTTCAAACTTGTTAAGTCAACCAACCCAATTTTTTAATAGTTATCTTACTTCCTTACTTTACAATGTAAGATTTTATTGAGACAGATGATTTTTCTGTTCCTGTTAATAAAATACTCTTGGTTTTTTTTTTTTAATCTACTAACTGGATTACCTTGCTGAGCTAAACACAAGTAATTCAGTGATCTTGCTGAAATAATTTTTTTTGACCAGTGGCCCCTTGTTAATGAAAGTAATTAATAGTAATGTTATTATTTCTTAGTTCTTATCTTAAAGCAGAGTTACTTAGAGAAAAAAAGGTTGGTCACTAGTGCTGAAATAATATCCATGCCCCTACATGAAAAGCAAGAATACTTTATGAGGTAACTACTGAGTTAGGCCTAATACAACTGTTGCTTTTAAAACTGTGTGTTCTGTATTCCACATGTGAGGGAGCAAAGGATACTTCTTCAAAAACACACAGACAACAAAAAACTATCATTTTTGCCTTGAGTTTGTTCTGCTTCTCTCCATACATTTCCCATCTGTGGAAATCTGTCAGCATACATTTAGTTCTTATTTCCTCCGAAAGGCATATTAGAAATAGAAGGAATAGAGAGTTTAGTATGAAAAGTGCACCGAATCGGAGCTTGAAGAGAAGACACAAGGGAAAAGATTTTAAATTGCTGGTTATGCTTAAGTTAAATGAATTTAGGCTATTAATTGTGCAAGGTTTTTGTAATCCCTTTCACAGTCCCATTCTTAGACAGTGATTCCTGCTAGCCATTTACTTTCTGTTTCTTTTATGGCACATTCCTCTCTGGAGAACTGATCTAGCAATTCTGTTCCTAGTTTGTAAAAAGACCTACCGTGATAGGATTTGGGAGTGTGGCAGCTAGATTATGTATCCAGCCCTCCCTCTTCTTTTTTGGCCAGTAGAAAAGGCATAGTTCGCCCTAATTCACTTTTTAAATGGGTTAACAAACTGCTCCTAAATCACCTCCTGTGAAAAGCATGCTTGCATCCAAAGGAAAGAAAAGGCTGGTGGGCCCCTTAGTGGGCTTTTTGTATGATTGTTTTCCTTCCACAGCTGTGTTTTTTGAACTGCTCTTCCTGTGTTCTGTTATAGAATAGTCTTACAGGAACCAATCATTAGCGCTAAAATACCTCAGGTAGGAGTGCCAGTGTGACCTGCCAATCAATCAGATTGTGGATTGCAGTGAAAAAATTGAATTATACTAACCATTCCAGCTCCACGTTAGAGATGGGAACAGAGGCTTTTTTGGACAATCAAGACTTGTGAGCGTGTGATCTAAGCCCTGCTACCTCAGCAGTGCCCACAGTCACATTCCGTACATAATGGCACTTCCTCTAAAATTAAGTGCTCCTGTCCTCTTGACACATATCCCAGCCAGGTGTGTAATATGCACTGTCCCATCACTGCCACCTCTTTTAATCTGTCAGTCACATGTACCTGTGGTATTTAAACTGTTTTTTTATATTTAGATCTTAGCAGTTGGGGACATTTTCTTACTACTATAAATTTAGAAAAGAGAAAAAAGAGGAAGTAGAACTGTACAAATAGGATTTCTGAATCCCACATTGGGCCCTGTAGTGAGATACCAGTTGTAATTGGACTGTGCTGCTACATAAGTTTGAAGTTGCCTTAAAAATCTAGACATATGGGACTCAAACATTGAGACATGCATTTCCCTTGGCCTCTTCTCCTTTCACCTAAGAAGATCAGTGAGTTCATTTGGATAATAGCATACTTGTTAGAAGGATTGCTGATAGCTGGATGCTAGGAGAAAGAAAATAGTCGATGGCTTTTCACAATCCAGTTTATTTATGTGGCTACCCAGCAAGATTTTGGAAATGAACTAATTTGGGGAGATGTGGAATAATAATGTTTGAAAGGTTTGATTATTGAAAATCGTCTCTCATCTACCATAGAAATAATAGGTGGAAGACATCAGGTTGATCATAGCAATTTTTTCCCTTAACCCCAATTTTAAACAATAATAAGATAAAATTTAAATACTTTAAAATTTTTTTCATAAGTACTTTTCAAAGGAGACAGAGCTCAATCAAAAGCAGTGACGGTATCACCATTATTGTAAGTTTGTGTGTTACTCACATTTAATCAGTGATGCCATTTTGCCACAAAAGAACTCTATAATATCTCCTAGAACCATGGTTCTTAGCAGGGGTGGGGAGGTGGTGAGGAAAAAGAGGGAGTTAGATTCATCCAAGGATAAATAAAGTGATTCCTGGAGGCCCAGCATTAAACCCACGCTAGTTGGAATAGATCTCTGCTCTGCTGTAGTGATTTTCAGCATCACACCTGCCATTCCTTACCCACCCCCTGCCGCCATCCCCCAACCCTCTGCTCTATTGATCTATACACTACATGTAGGTAACAAGCTTTCATTTTGTCTGCTGGTCTTGAAATACACACTCTCCTCCTCAGTGTCACATAATGTCATTGTCTTCCGGGTAGAAAGAAGGTGTCTTGACATCACATGCTCACCAAAGTCCTGTTTTAATGTAAACCTAAAACAAAAATATAATAAAATTAAAAGCTAGGTTAAAATCAAGACAAGGCAAAAGTCTGCCAGTGTGAGATTAAACTAATAAATATGCAGATAAAGGTCAGATATAGGAGGGATTATATTCTATTGTATTTTGCTCTAGTTTAAAACCCAGCTACAGAACTGTGCCGAAAGATCATGTGGTCAACGTGGCAACATCATAAAGTTAATTTGATGATAAAATTGGCTCAGAGCAGAGTAGAAAAGCCCTAGGAGATGACATTGAGCCATGAAAAACTGAGACTTTAACAACTGCAGAAAACACTGGAAAGGATCTTAAAGCCAACTTTTCAAAGGCATTTTCCTTTGAAGAAGCTGGAACTTGAAGTCAGAGATAGGTTACAGATATGTGAAAAAGTAAAATTCCTAAACACAGGAAATATTTTAGCAGAATGCTGTGGATTAGAATATACGGTTGTTGACAGAGGGCGAGCATACATGTGAGTGCTGTGGGTCAGGACTGAATTATATTGCCAGTGTCAGGCAGGTTGAATAGGGGAGCGATGAAGCACTGGGCAGCCCCACTGGGGACACCAGGTATCATTCAGAATGAATTGCAAAGGAATAAGAATAATTCTTTTTAAAGGGGCATGTGTGTATCTGAATCAAGCTTAGCCAAGCCAAATTTATCCAGCTATCAGAGTTCCAAAAAGCCGTCCGTGTGTGCCCTCCTACATTAGGGTGTGCTGTGGCCATGCTAATCCCCATTTTTTGTTTTATTTCAAATCACACACAGATAGAATCTGCAAACTGCTTCAGATCAAACAGGTCTGATTGTGTGTAAATACATATGTCCTTTTTAATTTTTATTATTAATGGTTGCTTCAGTTTTGCATCAGTGCATGGTTAAAAGCAATACACATCAGCTATTTCATGACTTCATATCTCCAAATGAATTATTTCTCCTCTTTTTTTGTTTGTTTGTTTGTGCAGTCAGCTGAAGAAATGTTAACATCTCACTCTAAATCTCTCAGTGGAGTCTCTGTTCCCTTCTCTGATATAACAGATGGGTTACTGCTTGTTATAATTATTAACATTGTGGTGTGGGCCAGGGCTAGGGTGGGCAAGATTGACTATTTCTTTGGGCTGGGGAGGGGCCAGTCGTTAGGGTATGGAATGTTAACTCAAGTGGTGACTGACTGTTTCCGTAATACCAGGTCGTTGTGGCTGCACGCTCTAGTAATTGAGGCTGTGTACTTCACCGAGCTTGTGGTAGAGCCTAGGGCAAACCGCTGTCCCAAGAGAATGCTGGGATAGATAGAGTTAGCCAATACGAGTCTGAACGTGGTGATTTTGCTGGTTGTTTAGCTCCAGATGTTGGCATGCTTAGTTTTTAATGTGATTAATAAATGTGGCGCCATATCCCTCCCCACGCCTGAACCCTGTCTCTTCTACCTCCTTCCCACCCTTGTTCTTTTTGAAAAACTTAAGAAACAGTAATGAAAACCTTGGTGTTTCAAACTGCACTTTGTTCTCATGTTTTATAAAAGCCTTTAGATTTGCTAGTAAGAGTGAAAGCTGAAAAAACGGTTTCTCAGCCTGAAATTTCTATGCACTTTGAAATCTGGAATAGAAATAAATATATCTGAATTTTCTTTTTCTCACATTTTGTGATATGTTTTGTTGAATAAAGCAGCAAAAATACTTTCGAGTAAGTGTATGTGTGTGTGTGCGTGTGTGTGTGTAAGAGAGAGAGAGAGGAATACATCCATGATACACAATTAATTTTTCTACTTTTGGAGTAGTCATTAGTGAATTACCAAGTTAGTTTAGTAGGATATTGCCTATCTATCCTAAAATAGTTCATCTTTTAAAGGTTTCTCTGTAATGCCATTATTATAAAGTAATCAGGAGAATAATCATGTTAAAGTCATCTGCTTTAAAAAAAACTCTTCATGTGTTTTTTCTTAGTGCTGATATTCTTGAGCCTTTTGTTTTCAGTAAAGTATTTGCCAACCCTGTTCTGTTTTCTTCCACTTGAAAAGCAGAGAACTTCATCATGTTTAAACTTCAAAGTCAGACTTGACTTATCAAAGAAGGAAACCGCTACAGATAGATTCTCTCCATCTCCTTCTGGATTGGAAGGAAGATTCTTTTCCATAGTCTGATCCATTTGAATTGTTTTGATTAGCAGTAACATTACTCCTAAACCACCAAGGTTCCTATGGCTTCCTGTAGGCCTAGGAAAATGAGGGGAAATTGGTTCTGTCAGCAACCTCACTTAGAACCTGTTTTTTAAGAATACAGCTTAAAGCCATGATTTGATAGAATACTCAGAGATCGTACCTCCAGTACCTCACTCAGTCTTCCTGAGAGTCAGGTGTGAAACCTACCCTTGGTTGAGTACTTTTGAACCTCAGTATCCCTTTGCAAGAATTTATACCTCTGCCGTATGGCATAAGACTTCAGTTTTTAATTTTTTTACCTAGGTAAACATGAATTGGGCTTTAACTGCTTTTGTTGCCTTAACTTTAAAATTTTTTTAATGTTACTTTGATGGTTGGAGTAATACTAAAGAGTAAAATGCTGAATTACCCTTGTTTGCAAAGAAGTTTTACTAAATAGCCCTGCTGTAACTTTACACTAGCAAACAAATTCTAAACTAATGGAACCATCTCTAGTTATAATGAAAAATTACTAGGGTTCATTTTAGTGTTAAAATTCCAACTGTAATTAACATTTGCTTTGTTTAACAAATGCTTAAAAAAAAAAAAGGTAAAGAAATACTTTAGTTAGTTTAATTATGTTGTGGCCAGGATTTACAGCTTTGCCCAGATCCTGGCTAGAATTCCAAGGAACCATGTTGATCAGAAACGGCCCCCAAGGGTGCTTCCTGCCATGTTCCCATTCATTACCATTTCATTGTCAGTGTTTGGTAATATTAATTAGAGTCTTCATATATCTCTGGAAGAATTCGTAATTAAGAAGGAAATGTTTACTTTCTAAGTCACTCATTTGAAAAACAAAGGAGGAATAATGTATAACCACTGAAAGCCAGTCAGGGATTTTTTTAAGTACATTTGAAACTACCCTGACTTCAAGCAGCATAAACTTGAAGAGCAGGAATAAATTTCCCTCACAATGCAGTTTCTTCATTTAGAGAAAGCATAAATTATATAAGGAAGAAGCAAAAGGCTTTAGAAGCTCATAAGAAATTATAGGTATTTCTAAAATAAGGGGTAACAAATAAAAGAAGCAAGCTAGGACTTGCCATGCAAGATGGTTAAGAAGAACAGGGGTCCCCTTAGAAAATAGTTGTTCTCAATCCCAAGAAATGATACAGAAGTAAATTTGAAATTTCTTTTGTAGATTTAGAAAAATCGAACATTTGAAAAAATAGGAAGTAGAAAGCACAGGGCAGAAACCTTCAGATATCCATGAGAAATGAGCACATTTTATCCACAGAAATAAAATGTTTATGCTATTGTTCACTACTGAAATGATGTTCAGTTGGGCCAGTTGAACATAGTTGTTTTTGATAGTGAAAGGCCAATAATAAAAATTTGCATCTGAATTACGTTTAGGTAAAATAGATGAATTCTATTTCATAAATAATAAAAAGTAGAGTTTGCCACTTTTAAAAATATCCTGTCTCATGTGGCAAGCATTTGTTGTTGTGATTGTCTCTTGAAATGCTTTCTGAAAGAGTGCATGATTCACCCTGATAGTGAAAACCTTTTGTATATTTGAGTTATCTAAACTGAGTTGAAATAGAAGGATGTGATGGTTTGAAATTCTTTAGGACTGAGAGGATATTTGGACTATTGGAAGAAAAGCTCAGAGTCTACTGTAAGATTAATATGTAAGAATCTCAAAACCTTTTAGGGAAGGAAAATGCAGTTAAGTGCTAGAAGCAGGGTTCCTGATCTATTTGAATCCAGCCAAAGAATCCTCAGAAATTTGTAATTGATTTGCTCAAGTATGAAATGTAGATCTGAGTTGGCAAACTTTCCGTAAAGGGCCAAGTGGTAAATATTTTTGGCTTTGTAGGACATTGGTCTCTGTCACAAGTACTTTCAAAAACAGGTGGCAAGCTGCATTGGCTCACAGGCCAGAGTTTGCTGACCCCTGATCTACATTGTTTTTCCTTCTAAATATTACCTGATTATCTTAGCTTCTTGGCAAACATGCTAGGCCGGATGGAGCAGAGGTTTCTGTTACATGCTGTAGTCTCTTATTAATGAATCAATCCAAGAACACGTTAGAGAATCTGAAGTCAACACATACAGATTTCATATATTTTAACTTTATAATTTATATTTCTTGTCAGAGTGCTCCCAACTTGCTGTAAATATTTTCGCTTTTGAAAGTTCCAACAAAGACTGTGAAGTAAGACAGATTCAAAATCATATCTTCATTCCTTGTATTTAACAGGTACTACCAAACTTTACTTTTAATACTATCACAAATTGGAAAGCAAATCCTTGCATATCGTAGGGCTTAATTTTTTATTGGAGGAATAATAACATGCAGACTGATGCAGTTTGAAACATTTTCTTCCCATGTGTGTGTCTATGTTTGTGTCAGTCCCTGTGTCTACATGTGTGTACGTCTGTGTGTGGGCGGGTGTGTGTTTTTCTGTACACCTGGGGGGAGAGGTATCTGTAAAGTCAGTTCTCTTCTCTCCTGTAGGGTGGATATGCAGCCTACAGATATGCACAGCCTGCTACTGCAACCGCAGCCACCGCTGCTGCAG
This sequence comes from Homo sapiens, assembly GCF_000001405.40. Taxonomy (NCBI): domain Eukaryota; kingdom Metazoa; phylum Chordata; class Mammalia; order Primates; family Hominidae; genus Homo; species Homo sapiens. The sequence continues at coordinate 67,495 of NT_187630.1, read as the reverse complement.
CCGCTGCAGCCGCTTACAGTGACGGGTATGTACAGAGACAGTGGTGAGCTTTGGGATGCATGAGAGCTGTTCCATCCCAAAATGTCACCCATTTTCCTCCCTTCACCATTTCCACAGCAGCTCTTAGCACATCGGGCATCTTGCCAGCCTGGGCTTTCTGCAGACCTCTTGATGGCCTCTGTCATGCCTAAAGCACAAGGCACCGACTCTGTCCTCCACTCCCTCTTTCTTGTTCTCATCTCTTCTTTGACTTTGACTCCAGTCCCTCTCTTCCTCATCTCCAACTCCTTTCTTTTCCATTTTATGGAAGTACTTCAGATTTTTTTCAGTTATTGCATTTGGGAGTAGAAATAGAAAGGTTTTTTCCTATTCCTTGTAATTCCAGTTTCCTTATGATAATCCAAGACCAAGTGACTCACAAGTCTTAAAGCACAGTAATCCCTTTAATTTTTTTAGATCATACACTTTTCTTTATCTGTCTGATTGTGTTTCTTCTTTCCAGTTATGGCAGGGTGTACACAGCCGACCCCTACCATGCCCTTGCCCCTGCCGCTAGCTATGGAGTTGGCGCTGTGGTAAGTATATAATATACCATTGCTTTATAAAACCATTTCATTCCTTCTTTTACCCGTAGACTACAGAAGATCTAGGGAGGTAGTAAATTCAGCCTTTCATCCACCATCAAGGTATTAAAGCCACATAGATCTACCTGGAAGTTTCATGTCACCCTCTTTATTTGTGTGTTATTATAATGTGAGCCACATGGCCTAGTTAAGGGCAGCAGAAAGGAATGATCATTGATAATATGCCCCGAGTAGTGGCATGATTTGCGAGAGAAATAGGGGAACTGGTGAATGTTTTCTATTGGTTCAAATGTTGAGTGCATACCTGTGGCATAGTTTCATTGATAGGTGTTGGCAAAGGAGCATGGAGCATAAGGCTGTAGTATTCACAGTAAGCTTTTCAAAAACTTAAGTTTCAAATGCAAATCTAAAGGATGTCTCTGCTCTTCCTAAGCCTTCTGGTAGATAGTACTAGAAATTCCTAAGTGAATGCTTTATAGGATATTTTATTATTGATTATTGATAACAATTGTGGCAAAATATGGTGTTGTTGATAGAAGTATCGAAGAAGTCCATAGAACTAGCATAATTTCTTCTGACCAACCACCTCACTGCAGTATTATTGTGTTGGCTTGGATGCCTCCAGTTTCAGTGATTAGGACTCACAGGCTGCAACAAAGACAGGCCATTCCACAGTGACACCTCTGCCAGGGCTTTCTCTCTAATCCAAAATGCAACTGGGCAACTACCTCTGGACATGGGTAGAGTTGTTTGAAAAGGAGACAGAATGAAATGTAAAATGTAAGACCTAAAGGAATATGAGAAAGCTACTTCTCACACCAAATTTCTACTGATGAAGATTTGTGGAAGGAAGTAATAGGGGGCCCTGAGGGAATATATGTTTATAAATGAAGTAGAGCATTACAATATAACGGCAGTGGTAGAAGTGCCTGAGGTTGTATTTCGTCCTAAAATGATATAAGTCCTATGCTAAAAGAATGACCTGAGAAAGATGCATTCCTGGGAAACTTCTAATTGAAAGAGATAAGCCATTAGATAAAGTCATTTGATAAACATAAAGGAATAAAGCCTAGTTAAAACCCCAGCTAGATATGTAAATGTGAATATGTCAAGAAACAGCCTAGTTGGTGTGCTTCGTAGATGATAGAGGAAACAGACTTTATTAAAGACTGGCTCAGGTTTAGATGTGGCACCATCTCAAACATGGGCTGTGACCACACATGGCAGGGATCGTGTCAGAAGTAACGTGCACTGCCGATGGGTCATATGTGAGAAGGAGAAACTGGTGATCTGTTTTCCACCAGGATTATAAGGCTGTATCAAGGTAAACAAAAACCTGTGCTTTTAAAAATCAAACTCTTTGCAGAACTTGTTTTCAACTGTGTATTGTTTCCCTTCTGTGCTAATTCATGTAAATAATGAAATAAAATGTCGTCATACTCTCCTTGAGAATATCAGGTCAGCAATAAATGTGTTGGGCTCTGGTCTGAGCACCTTAGAAGCAGAAGTTGGTTTCCTGACTTCACTGCACAAGGCAATGCTTGATCAGTTGCTTTGAGGCTTCGAAGCAGGCTGTTTCTAGATCCCTCTCTGGACATTTTTCTTCACTGTTAATGCTTCTCTCATCAACCTTTTAATTATTTTTATCTCTTTAATTACTGCAGGCGAGTTTATACCGAGGTGGCTACAGCCGATTTGCCCCCTACTGAAGTGACGTGAGACCCCTGCAAATGGGACAGCCCCCCAGTTCATGAGGCCTGGCTATTGCAATATTTACTAGTAGAGGAACTCTATAGCAAGATGAAGAGGAAAAACAAACAAACAAACAAAAAAAAACACAAAAAAAGAAAGAATACTTTTTTATACCTCACTATGTTCTTTGAATATGTATTTTTCCTTTAAATTTCTGCCTTTAATTCTTTTGTTCCAAAGATTGTGCATTTTTTTCTTTTTTTTTTTAAACTGTGGTAAAAAAAAAAATAATAATGCATTTCCATGTCTGTATGTCCGTGCTTAGCTTATTCTATCAATCACGGAAGAGGCAGTCAAGGAGGAAGGAGAGACATTAGGAGCCGATAAATGCATCTGATCAGAAATCAGCAGACAGAATTACCAAAGTGTATCTGGTGCTGAATGACTGGGGGACAAGCAGAAGTGGAAGAGATCTTTCTGCAACAGGATATTCTTCTAGTCTTCTGAGTTTCTGGTCTTTGACAGGCAATTCTGGTTGGCTGTGGCTGGAATCCACATGCTGATAGATAGGAATTTGTGCTTACAAAGCAGGAGAATTAAAAAGACGCTTTCCTCTCCTCTTCCCTCCTGTCTTCTCCGTTCTTTTTACAATCATCTTACACGCACAGCCTGAGACAGCTGGCATAGTTTTTGGAATTATAGTATTGATATTTCCAAACGTGCTCTCAGACAGTGGATAATAAACACCTCATTAGGAAACCGATCTCAGAATGAACTCTGGAGTATGAAAAAGATCATTTCTTTTTGTTCCTGTAACCTAGCATTCCTTCTAGGCTTCTTCTCCTTTAATTGAACCACAGCTTAGCTCATGTATTCTTTTATTAACACCCTGCTCTCATGTCCATAAGATTCAGGAATTTAGGACCCAGGGACAGAAAAGTGAATAAGCCAGTGACCAGATTTCCCCCAGATGTCTTGAGGATTAGAAGTACAAATTGTTGACAGCCATTAAAGAGGGTGAGGAAGGGAAAAGGAATATTAGAAGATCTGGTATTTCTTACTTTTTTCTTGCCTCAGAAAGTACAAAGTTTAAAAAATAGAATAAAGAATCTGCTGGGGAAAGATAGAGTACCAGGTCCTAGGTCAGTAGTCCCTGGAAGTTTTGGTGATGAGGACATGGAAGGGCAGGCAGAGGCACTTTGTACTTGCTCCAAAGCCATAGGAATTTTCATCTTCCAGAGCCTTTATGAGTCACTTCTCTATCCACAGTCTTGAGCCTGTGGCTATCCCGCTGAGCTTCTCACTGTCCTCCAAAAACACCCCGCTGAGCACCCGGACCACTTTGTACACATTAACACTACAGGACATAAAATGCAGAGGCCCTGAGATTGCTGCCCTCCCATATTGGAAGGAGGGTCTGCGATGGCAAGGGTCTTCTATATCACCAGAAAGAGTCGCGCAGTGAGTCACTGCCGTTGCCATCTGGCTGTAATTTTCTATGTTATCAAGGTAGGAGGGAGTGTTTCTCTTCTAGCTGTTAGATAGAACTGATAAAAGCAAGTGTCCTACAGCATTTCCCAAATGAAGGCATTAGGAAATAGAAAAGCACGGTCTTTTTGGCTCCCTGGTCTAGTCACATTGGTACTAGGGTGACCTTTCACCCAAGGGACAGCTGCTAAAGGGAGTAATTCAGAGACATGGAGCTTCTGGTTATGGGTTTGTTTTGGGTTTGTTTTTAACTCCTGCCTCCACACATGTTCTTGACTGATAACTGACTCATGTCCCTGAATTAAAATGACTGACCTATGACAGCATCAAGCATTCTTTGTAAGCAGAGTGATATATCTGAGAGGGCGTTGACCTGTTGTGTAGAATACATATCCTTTCCCCCTTCAGAATCCTGTCTCGCCTCGTAACTGGGAGAGAGGCTGTGCCTGAAACTAGGGGCGATGTCAAGGAAGCTAGAGGCCTCGATGCAATTATTACTGACTCTGGGGAGGAAGACAGAGAATAAGGGGACACCAACTGCCCAGTCCACTGGCCATTTTTAAGGGTCCCCCCACCCCAAGCCAAAGTTTGGTTTGTTGCTGTTAAGACAATTTTTGTTGTATGTATATAAATATTTTAGTTAGAGGAGCGGGGAATGGGATGCGGGCTTTCACAGTTCTAGGGAATGGGGGCAGGGAGGATTTTGCTTTTGCTTTTGCTTTGAGGGAGAACTTTAGCTGACTAAAAAAACAGAAGTTTGGGGTCATGATCACAAAGGGGCCATTCCCAAAAGATGGCAAGCCACGTATTCAGTGGAGACTAGGCCAAATTCTAAATGGTTTTATCCATAGCAGGGGAGAATAGGAGAATGAGTTTAAGAGTTTTTCTCTTCTTTTTTCCTAGAAAGAGGTAAGGATAATGGGAAAGGTAGAGAAGGCGGCTCCCACAGACCTTTTAAGAGAGGCAGAATCTTGAGCTTGAGGCACCTTGAGTGCATCTCAGTTCAGCTGGTTCTGGCTGAGGCCTCCAAAGGCAAGCTCTGTGCTTTCCAGTGGTTTCTGCTGCATTTCCAGGGATGGTGTTTAACACCGCTTCCTCCAGCTCCCTTTTCTAAGAAAGAATAAATGGAGTTCTGCTTTTTATGAAAGGGTCTTTGGTTTTCAGTGTCAACACTGAGAATTGGGGCTCTTGCAAGCATCTGGATTTCACAGTATCAACCTCCCCGTCACCTTTTGAACTTTGAGACTCCGTACGGTCAACTTCACCAGAGGCAGGTTGCTCGAAGCAGCACTGCTTGTCTGTTCCTGACTCTGGTTCTCACTGTATTAAAAAAGAGAGTCAGAGGAGTCTGGCATTTCGTGAGTTTGTTAGAGGATGCTGGCTGATAATTCCAGAAAACTTACTGATGCTAAATCACAGTACATGCATGATTCTTTTTCAGCTTTACTATAGTTCATGACCTGGACTTTCTGTACTCTTGGAAGCTGGGCTCCTTAAAGGAGGCCTCTAGTGAACACCTTTATCTCCATGTCCCTCTTAGAGCCCAGAGAGCTGCCCATAGGCATTTTCCAGAATTCCTCATGTCACCTAGTTCAATTTCCATTAACTCAGATCAGCCATTGTGATTCACCATTTGTCAGGCTCTCAGGTTTAACAAAACCTACTATCACCATCATCCTTCAACAGCCACAGTCTGAATTGAGCCAACATTTTTTTTTCTTTGAGAAAGAAGTGGACTGGGGCACAACTTTTAGTCTGAGGGGAGCTAGTGGAAATCTAGACAATAGAAGTCATCGATAGCAGCTTTTCCTCAAATGTGTGACTCCTCAGGGGCTGAACTGCTCTTAGCTTAGAATTATGCTTTACTAGAGATCTAGCAGATAAGTGGGTTAATCACTACCATCCTGTAACTAGTTATATAGCTTCCAGACATGAGGGAGACATCAAACAGGGATGGAAGCAACCCCAAGGATATGCAAGAAGGGCATGATGAACCCCCTTCCCTCTGGCAGGAGAACAAGGCCAACCAAGGGACAGACTGGAAAGCACTTAGATGTTTAAGGAGGAGAAAGGGGAAGCTTTGACCAGTCCTTGCCTTTTGCCAAGTTCAGCCAGTTCTCCGCTGCTTGCAACCTCTAGCGCAGTAACATTTGCAGAATTGCAGATTTTCCCCCAGATACTAGGAGGAAAGGGACTTTGGGGGGTGGGGAAGGGGTCGTGGTGTTTTAAAAGCATAAGTTACCTGTTTGCACTGTTTTAAGATAGGAAAAAAAAATAGTGGGCAAGGTGAACATCAGACGTAAATTTGTGTGTTTTTATTTTGTCATGCTCTTGAAAATGTTTGACCATTTGTAGTATACACAGTGAAACTTGATTCTCTGTTGCATAAAACACTATATTTTTTTGGAAATGTTACTGTCCAAAAGCCTCTTCCCTCCCTTTCCTTTTCCTATGTACTTCCTTCATACTTGCTTTACTGATCAGCCAGGCAATAGCCATCCAAGAGCTAGAGCATGAAACAGGGCCCTTTCCAAGTAGGCTCTGGGTGTCCTAAGCCAGCGTGTGCCCTCTGGTTTAGTGAGTGTAATAGAGTCCCTGGCACCTTTCTTTGCAAATGAGGCTAACAGACCAGACTGCAGCAAGTTATCAGATTCCTCAATCAGATGCACTAGGAGTGAGGAGCCCAGGGATGGAGGGGGTTCCTGAAGTATTGCAGTTGGCTGTAGTAGCTGAGTTCTTTTCCATGTTACCGAAACTGTAGCCAGTTACAGTTTACTCAGGAAAACGGTAGATCAATTCAGCCATGGTAGTGCTGGTTGGCAGGGATTGGTAACGGAGAGAACTGCTCATCAGCCAAAACTCAAGCCTTGCCTTTTAGGAGGCCACCAGCAGAGGGACTTGGTCCTCCTTGTCTGGTACTTGTGTACATGCCGGTGACCTGAGGACTCCACTCACACTGGCGAGCAAAAAGGGAGCAGTGATTCTCTTTTCTCTCCCCACCCCCTGCCCTTTGTTACCAACACCAGTTTCCCAGGGGGTACATGAGTTTCTGAATTTTTAAAAAATGTTTTTGGTTTGGTTTTTCTGGGGACTGATAAGTGCTTTAAGCAATGTCCATACCCCGTCAAGACTCCCAGCTTAGTCATTTTCTTGTATTTTTCTGTTCACAGTATTTGTGTGTGTGCTTGTTTTGGCAGCTCATTTTGGCTGTATTATATATTGAGTGATGAATTGATCCTCTTTTTTCCCTAAGGGATATGAATTGTTTTTCTTGTGTTATATTCTGCTTGTGAATAGCTGGAGCAAACCTGGGGCTGACACGCGTAAGCTAGGGCTGCAAAGCGAGAAGAGAGCCGGTGGAGTGTACTTGTCCCTGACAGGCTGACCTACCTGAGTCTCTGAGCTTTTCAGTCCAAATCTTTGCAAGGCTCAAAATGCCACAGAACCTCTCCTCTTCTCCCCACTCCCCATGGCAGGGACCGGACCATCCCTACATGCAACATGCTGTTCCTCCAGCCCCTCCCATTGCCATGGCAAAACAGGTACCTTTGGGGCATGGGGGCATTACATGGGATGCTTGTGTAATCGACCACCTAGCCTTCTCTCTCCCCTCCCGTCCTCCCCCAGAATCACTTCCTAGGACACCCGAGCTGCTTGCCCAGGGTCCTGTTTCCCTGCTAACTCCAGAGAAGCATCCCAGGGCTTTGTGACAGTCTCTAATTCCCTTCCCTTCTCGTTAAGAATCATATTGTATAGTAGCTTTCAGACCATACAGTATTCATTGGGTTACTCCTATTATTATCAAGTAGCTGGAATTGTGAAGGTCGGAGTAGTTAGATCTTTAGCTTTTATTCCTTATTTTTTTGTATTACTCTCCATGTGTATAAATTATTGATCATGTTGCTGGCTTTTATAAACTCTAAGCGAAGGAGGAGCACTGCCTCAGCCTTTGCACATGGTAATGAAGCACTGTTTTTAAATAAAAGAGAGAAACACCATTCTTTGGGCTGTGTGTATTAATCCTCGTTCCCTGTTGCCTCTGCCTGAGGCTCCAAAGATACCACTTGGATTTGACTTTTTAAGCGGGGTGCAGGGGGGGACAAGAAGGAAAAGTGCCAGGCGTTCTAAGGTGAGACGCTCTAAATGGTGATGAGAAGCCAGAAGGTAAGCGTGTGTCAGCTGCTCTCAGCTTCCCCAGCTGTGAACTCCAGTCTGTCCAAAAGCTGCTTCTGAAATCTTTCAGCTTCACTTCTTCACCGTCCACCCTCCCCTAGATTCAACTGCTGCCTTTACTGTACCACAGACACTGTCCTTGCCAGGGGCTGTGGCCCCACTTGACCTTATCAAAGTGTTATGTCCCTGCCTTGCCTCCTCTGTCCCTGCTGCCCCTGGCTCTCCGGCTGCCACCCAGGCTCCTTCACTTTTTGTTCAGCCATAGAAAATATGTCCTGCCTAGCCCTTTCCTCCCTGTTTCTTTTCTTTTTTTCCCCTTGAGACAGGGTCTCACTGTGTCGCCCAGGCTGGAGTGCAGTGGTGTGATCAAGGCTCACTGTAGCCTCAAACTCCTGGGCTCAAGTGATCCTCCCACCTCAGCCTCCCGAGAAGCTGGAACTACAGGTGCACGCCACCACACCCGGCAACATTTTTTGTAGAGATGGGGCTACACTGTGTTGCCCAGGCTGGTCTCGAACTCCTGGCCTCAAGTGATCCTCCCACCTCAGCCTCCCAAAGTGCTGGCATTACAGGCATGAGCCAGCACACCTGGCCTCTTTTCTTTCTTACCTGTGCTGAAACCCATCCCTTGCTGCATTTGTTTCGTTTCTCAGCCAATAATTCCCAAATCTCTGAAATTCTCCATAATCCATAAATCTCTAACTCCCTTCACTTCACCATATGAGATCATCATGCTTCCTATTTCACAGAATATGGAGGTTGTCAGACATAGTCTCCCTGAATGAAGTTTCCCTACCAGATCTACAAGCCTACTTGAATTCCACACAGGGTGTCTTTCCCCTTCTCTCTCGTTCTATTAGAGGCATTCTTCACATCACCGTGAACCCCACACCTGTGCTCTGCATCCCAGCCTTTCCCACCTGCTCGGTGCTTTGCTTCAGTTTCCTCCCTTGCCTGGTTTGCCTCTTCCTCTCAATAGTCCCTTTGGCACTTAAGCGTGCTTAGATCTTAAGTTAAAAAAAAAATTGGAAAATCTCAAGTTATTCCTTGTACTCTTTTTTTTTTTTTTTTTTTTTTTTGAGACAGGGTCTCACTCTGTTGCCCAGGCTGCAGTGCAGTGGTGCTATCTCGACTCACTGCAACCTCTGCCTCCCAGGTTCAAGCAATTCTCTTTCGTCAGCCTCGTGAGTAGCCGGGATTATAGGCATGCACCACCAAGCCTGGCTAATTTTTGTATTTTTGGTAGAGACGGAGTTTCACCATGTTGGTCAGGCTGGTCTCAAACTCTTGACCTCAAAGATTCACCCGCCTCGGCCTCCCAAAGTGCTAGAATTATAGGTGTGAGCCACCACACCTGGCCCTAAGTTGTTTCTTTTGTGGCAAACTTCTGGAATAAGTTTCTACCGGCTGACTCCAATTACTTGATCTTCACCCTGTGGCTGCCTGCCTTCTACCTCCAGTACCTGGAAGCAGCCCCTGAGGATGACAGTGAACGGATGCTCCTCTGTTCACCTGCTTGACTGCTGAGTGTTCCCAAGGCTGCTTCCCTTGTGTGTTGGACTGTGACAGGCCAAAGTGAGCGAGTACCTCACCACCACCACCCACTCCAAGCTGGCACGTCCTTGCCCCGCCTCGTCTTATCTCCTAAACTGGTCTCCTTGCCTCCACCTTTTCTCCGACAGCTCTCCATCGCCGAAGTTTGTTCTCTCGACAGCCTGTTCAATCGGATTGTGACGTGCTTTTGTGCAAACTTCTTTGGCTTCCCATCCCGTAGCCAGTTCCAAGTCCTTATTTTGGTCTACAAGGCCCTGTACAATGTGCTCCCCTGGTAGTTTATTTGGTGTCTGTCTTTCTGTACTAAAATGCAGGCACCTGGAGGTCAAAGACTTTGTTCTGTTGGCTGCTGTATCTCCATTTGCCTGGTGCATTGTAAGCATTCAGTACCTATTTGTTGAATTACTGCTTTCCATTTTGGATGTAAATGATGCACTTTTCAGCCCTGCCTTCCTCCACATTGCCACCCCTAGTAACAACAGTGGACATGTGTGTGGAGCGCTGTTGGTGGCACTTGCCCATTTTCACTCCTTTCATCTTCCCAGCAGCTCTGTGAGGCGGGTGCCCCCTGAGGCACTTCTGTCTGCAGCTCCTGCTCCTGCCTTCCTGCTGGGTTTGACAAGCATGCAAAACCTGGATTGCCCCTTCCCCAGGCCATTTCTGGGGGTTGTGTTTGCAGCAAGAAAACTTGTATCCCCTCAGGACAAACAGCAAGCTTGCTTACTACCTGTTATAAAAGAGGTGGATCCCCTAAGCTCAGTGCTCCTCAGCTGCAGCGCAAACCTACTACCTGCGCCACATCTATCCAGGCCTGTGGGACTCGGGGGCTCATGGAACTGTTCCATATGCTGGTGCTCATGCTGCCTGCTGCACTGTGAGTAATAAAGTCCTTTGCCTCTCACCGAGTCGTGTGTCTTCCACCAATATCCGTGAAACAATAACAGGCTAATGCATCAGCTTCTAAGGAAGGAGAAATCAAAGCCTATACCTGACAGTATTGTTATTCCTCTGTTAAAAGATGAAGCTGGACGCATAGAGAGATTAACTAACTTTCTCAAAGTCACATAAGTAGGAAGTTGCAGAACCAGGATCCAAACCCAGGCAGTTGCTCCCAAGTGTATGCCTTTAACCTCTGACTGCTAGTGTTTCTAAGTGCTGCTCTTGTGGAAACCCCACAGAAATCAGAGCCAGCACTGCACTCCTGTCTCTGGCTGCCTCTCTGCCTCTTGTAGGCTCCTCTTCCTCCAGCTCTCTTTTAAATCTTGTTATTCCTCTAGGGCTCAGTTGTAGGCCAACTTCTTCCCATACTCCACTGAAAAGATCACTGTTGAGACCCATTTCTGCCTGTAAGCTAATGACTCTTAAATCCAAACTGGAGTTCATAAAGCTTTCCTAGAGTCTAGACTCACGTCCAGCTGCAGCCCCACAGGCTTCTAAAATTCAATATGCTTGAAATAAACCCTTTTTCTACTCAAAACCTATGTTCCTGTCTAGTCCATTTGAGCTGATAACAAAATACCATAAACTGAGTAATTTTTAAATAACAGAAGCTGGCCAGACGCAGTGGCTCACGCCTGTAATCCCAGCACTTTGGGAGGTGAGGTGGGGGTGGATCTCCTGAGGTCAGGAGTTCAAGACCAGCCTGGCCAACATAGTGAAACCCTGTTTCTACTAAAAATACAAAAATTAGCTGGGCATGGTGGCGGGCGCCTGTAATCCCAGCTACTTGGGAGGCTGAGGCAGAAGAATCGCTTGAACCTGAGAGGCAGAGGTTGCAGTGAGCCGAGATTGGGCCATTGCACTCCAGCCTGGGCAACAAGAGCGAAACTCCATCTCAAAAAAAATTTTAAAATAACATAAGTTTATTTCTCACAGTTCCAGAGGCTGGGAAATCCAAGGTCAAGGCTCCAGCAGATTCTATGGCTGGTGTGGGCCCATTTCCTGGCTTAGAGCTCCTTCTCACTATTCATCCAATGGTGGAAGAGGCTAGCTAGCTCTGTGGGGCCTCTTATAAGGGCACTAATCCCATTCATGAGGGCGCCACCCTGATGATCTAATCACCTCCCAAAAGGCCCCATCTCCTAACACCATCACACTGGGGGTTCCGATATCAACATAGGGATTGGATGTGGGGGAGACAGAAAAAAATCACACCAAGCAGTTCCCTAGGTCAATAAGTTGGACAACAATTGGCAATAACCATCTTAAAACCCTAAGGAGGAAAGAGAAAAATGATGTAAAGAAAGATATTTTGCTAAAGGGGGGTGTGTTCCTACTTTCGTCTTGGGTGGCTGCCGGTCCTTAGTGAGGACCTCTCTCCACTTGCAAACAGTCAGCAAGTCGAGCTGAATCCTTGATCTCCACCCATAGTCCTCAGGTGTAGCATGTGGCTGGCTGACCTTTTATCAGACAGTGAGAGGTGCTGACCTCTGGACCAACTAGACAGACAGCATCCAAAGACAAGTCATCTTTGTCTAGCACATAGTAGATGCTTTATACATTTGATTTGTTTTTGGCTCAAACCCCTTCCACTTACATAATTCTTCCTGTTTTGACAGGCTTTAGCAATGATGCTTTTCTCTGACTCAAGCTTAGCCCCAGTCCGCAGCCTCCGTCCATCACATGAACATTGATTGGTGACGTGCAGCCATATATTGGTGCCATTTGGAAACAAAGCCTGGAGAAACTGGATTTTCTCTTAGGTAATTAGTACATGTCTCTCCCCACCACCAGACTGAGCTTCCAGAGGGTAAAGGACTAGATTAATCATGTCCAGCTTCCTAATACCTCACTGAGGCACCTGCTGGAGCTCCCATCATATAAACCATACTGACGGTTCCACAAAGAGACACAGATTCAGACTCACAGCCAAGAATATGACAAGCACAGGCAGAGTGTCTGAGAATGAAACCGCACATAGTTCTCTGAGACTTTATTTAAAACACAAGATGAATTTACAAAAAGTTTAAGATGAGTCAAAAGGTGGCCCTGGCCTCAGGCTTCCATTTCTGTGCCTCTGTTGAGGACAAGGAATGCTCAGAGAGTAGCCTCCTCTCCATGCTCCCAAGTAGCCAGTGGCCCCTGTGATGGCAACGAATGATGCAGTTTTTTTGTTTGTTTGTTTGAAAAGAAAACTGGATTTCCAGGAGCAGCAGCCAAGTGTCTGTTTCTCCCTGAGCCATAGGAAGCTGTGTGGTCTCAGTGAAATCTCTGCCCATCTGCCCCACAGCTTCCCCATCTGTAGGATGTCAGGACAGATAAGCTATTCTGGCCAGGCACGGTGGCTCATGCCTGTAACCCCAGCACTTTGGGAGGCCGAGGCGGGTGGATCATCTGAGGTCAGGAGTTCGAGACCAGCCTGGTCAACATGGTAAAACCCCATCTCTACTAAAAATACAAAAATTAGCCAGGCGTGATGCTGCACGCCTGTAACACCAGCTACTCGGGGCTGAGGCAGGAGAATCACTTGAACCCAGGAGGCGGGGGTTGCAGTGAGTTGAGATCATGTCACTGCACTCCAGCCTGGGTGGCAGAGTGAGATTCTGTCTCAAAAAAAAAAAAAAAAAAAAAAAAAAAAAAAAAAAAAAAAAAAAAAAGCTATTCTGTGGGGCCCCTCCCAAGGTGGAAGTGCTGACTCTGTATTGTTGATAACAGAACTTGTCTCTCCGGGTGGAAATCAAGTCTAAACAAATGCTCAGTCCCAGGCACGGGGCTGATCCCATCGTGCACTCCCACCTGAGCGCTCCACCTTCCCCTGGGAGCTCAGTCCTTTCTGCCTCGCAGCTCGTAAAATGCCTGTGCATTCACTAAGTCCCAACAGAAACTGTACAGGAGCAATTGTGACCAAGTGGTCACAAAAGCTGGCACCACACAGCGGCATGTCAGGAAAATGGTGCCTCCATTTTGGAGACTGCCCGACCCAGTTCTAGGCCAAATATTGGAGGTTCTCAACCAAAGGAGCAAATCAGAGCCCTATTTACACACCCAGGCTGCAGACCCGCAGGCTCCAACTCATTCGGTCCAAGTGGGGTCTGAGCATCTGGATTTTGTGAAGAGGCCAAAGATGATCTTAATGTGCACACTGGCTGGAATCCGCCACTACAGGATTTTTGGATCTTGCCATCTTCTCAAAGGGTGCTGAGAGACAGAGAACAGAAGAGCTCTTTTTTTGTTGTTTGTTTTGTTTTGTTTTGTTTTGAGATGGAGTTTTGCTCCTGTTGCCCAGGGTGAAGTGTAATGGTGCAATCTCGGCTCACTGCAACCTCCGCCTCCTGAGTTCAAGTGATTCTCCTGCCTCAGCCTCCCAAGTAGCTGGGATTACAGGTGTGCACCACCACGCCTGGCTAATATTGTATTTTTTTTTCTTTTAACTGGAGACAGAGTTTCACCATGTTGATCAGGCTGGTTTTGAACTCCTGACCTCAAGTGACCCACCCACCTCGGCCTCCCAAAGTGCTGAGATTAGAGGCGTGAGCTACCACGCTGGGCTGAAAAGCTCGTTTTTAAAAAGGCTGGGATTGCTGTCTCTATGAAGGTTCATCAGTGGTAACAAATGTTACCACATGGTGCTGGATGATGATGGTCTAGGGTGAGGGGAGAGGGTGTGGGGGAGCTCTCTGCGCTTTCCACTCAAATTTACTCTAAAAAATAAAGTCTATTAATGTTAAAGCCTATTAATTTAAATGCAGGGAAGAGGCAGCCAGGGTATGAGGGAGTCAGTGGGAATATTCAAGGATTGTGGTTCTGTGCCTCTCCGCGAGATCACTCTTCCTAAACACCTTTGTTCTCAGATAAGCGCCTGCTCCATCTCCATGGACGGCTTCTGTTGTCCGTGGGCAAAATTCTAAACTCCTTAGCCCGGCATTGAAGGTACCTCCCTGTCCTGGCCTCAAACCATCTTTCAGGCTTAGAATCAGCAATGAGGAGCCCAAACTGAAAGGGACCTCAAAGACCATCCCCACGAGATTGTAAGTCCCACAAGGGCGGGGGCCTTCCTTGTCTGTTCACCGCAAGGACCTAGGACATGACCAGGGTCTGCAAGGGCAGGGACCTACACCCGGATCTGGCTCGAGGTAGGAGTGCATGCCCTGGCCCAGCCACCAGCCACTGAATGCCCCCCCACCGTTCATTTCTTTCTTTTCTTTTCTTTCTTTCTTTTTTTTTTTTTTTTTGAGATGGAGTCTCACTCTGTCACCCAAGCCAGAGTGCAGTGGCACGATCTTGGCTCACTGCAACCTCTGCCTCCCAGATTCAAGCAATTCTCCTGACTCAGCCTCCTGGGTAGCTGAAATTACAGTCATGTGCCACCAAGCCTGGTTAGTTTTTGTATTTTTAGTAGAGATGGGATTTCACCATGTTGGCCAGGCTGGTCTCGAACTCCTGACCTCAAGTGATCTGCCTGCCTCAGCTCCCAAAGCGCTGGGATTATAGGCGTGAGCCACCATGCCTGACCAGAAATCCCCTTTTTTTTTCTCCCACACAGCCTGTCCTTCCACCTCCTTTTCCCTCAAGACCATTTCTCTGAACATTTCCGACATAATCCAGCCCCCATCATCTCGTTTGCCTCTGAGCTCTCTGCAGCATGACTTTATTCTTGCCATACTTGGCTTCGTGCTGTGTTATTTTGAATTCTTTGAGGCGGCCTCTTTTGTATTCAGCTCTCTGTCTCCAGTACCAGAGCCCTGGAGCTGCCATACATCCCTCAGTGTCTGTGGGACCTGCCAGGCCAGCTGTGGGAGTCAGGACTAGGATTGATCTGAGTAGAGCCTTCATGTGGTTCTTTTTTTTTTTCTTGAGATGGAGTCTCACTCTGTCACCAGGCTGGAGTACAGCGGCACGATCTCAGCTTACTGCAACCTCTGCCTCCCGGGATTCAAGCAATTTTCCTGCCTCAGCCTCCCAAGTAGCTGGGATTACAGGCACGTGCCACCACACCCAACTAATTTTTGTATTTTTAGTAGATACGGTGTTTCACAATGTTGGTCAGGCTGGTCTCGATCTCCTGACCTTGTGATCTGCCCACCTCCGCCTCCCAAAGTGTTGGGATTACAGGCGTGAGCCACCGCGCCGGGCCGTCCTCAGGTGGGTTTTACCACACCCCAGCGTAACTGTAGATCTGCTTGCTCTACAGAAGACAGCTCATGAACCCAGAAGAGGCGAGGGATGTGCCTGAGAAAGAGCCTCTAGAGGGTGTGCTCCTCTGCTCTGAGAAAGCCTTATTCTTTCAGGATGTAAAGCATGGGCTCCGGATCCCAGCTGTCTAAACTTGAAATGTGGCGCTGCCACTTCCTGGACATGTGCCTTTGCAGGAGTTGCTTAGCCTGCCTCAGTGTTTCCATCTGTCAAATGGAGATGGTATTAGTCTCTACTTGAGAGGGTTGATGTAAGGATTTTAAAAGTTCATATATGGGCTGGGCGCGGTGGCTTACGCCTGTAATCCCAGCACTCTGGGAGGCTGAGGCGGGTGGATCACCTGAGGTCAGGAGTTCAAGACCAGCCTGGCCAACGTGGTGAAACCCTGTCTCTACTAAAAATACAAAAAAAATTAGCCAGGCATGGTGGCAAATGCCTGTAATCCCAGCTACTTGGGAGGCTGAGTCAGGAGAATCGCTCGAACCTGAGAGGCAAAGGTTGCAGTGAGCCAGGAACACGCCACTGCACTCCAGCCTGGGCGACAAGAGTGAAACTCTGTCTCAGACCAAAAAAAAAATGTTCATATATGTAAAATGCTTAGAAATACATGGCACATAGTATTCACTCAATAAATGTTTCATTACTGTTATTAGTAATCGTGTGATCCACAGGGATGAGCCAAGCGCTCTGGACAACCGCCCCAGGTTCCAAAGACAGGACAATGTCATGGGTTCTGAGACTTAAGTCCCAACATCCCCTTGACCTCTCAGTTCTAATTGGTCAGGTCATATCTTCCCTGCTGAATTGTTTGCTTCTTGTGTCCTCAGGAAACTGAGGCACAGAGAGGTCATAGAGCGAGGCCTCAAACCCCAGCAAGAACCCGGGCAGCTTTGCTGGGGCTGTGCCCCTAGGCCCTGCGTGGATCCTGGCACCCAGTGGTCATGGGGGCTCCGTGAGTCTTTCTTCACTGAGTGGAGGCCCTTCCACTCCTTCCCTTGACATTCAAATAGTTCAAGCCTCTATTTGACCAATACAGGAGCAAAGGGCCCAGAGAGGCTAAACGCAAGAGCATATCGCCAGTTATTGGCAGGAGTGGGGGCTAAGGAGCCTCCCCTTTTCCAAATGTTGCCTTGCTGGTGTTTGAAAGTGTTTGCCTGATAGAATAAACAGGAGCATAAAATGGTTTTTCCAGCGGAATGGTAAGTTCTCCAAAGTTGGGGTCTTCTGTGCTAGCTCAGGGTTCCTGCTCCAGGGTTCTCTTCATCCAGAGCAGTCAGTAAATGCTTCCCGAGTGTCCTGTTGTGCTTTCTGGAAGCACAGCATTGGCTGAACGTCTGTCAGCTACCGGGGGTGACCGTAGGTGCCTTCGCATATGAGATCTCATTTAATTTTCACTTAAAAATGAAACTGAGTTCTTCATAAGAACTCCTCATTCTCGTCCCCGTTTTGTGAGAAAGTCACAACAGTGGCAGGAGGAGCCTTGCACAGTTTCACACAGGTGGAATGCTTTCTGAGCCTGGATCCGCGGGTCTCGCACAGTTTCACACAGGTGGAATGCTTTCTGAGCCTGGATCCGCGGGTCTCGCACAGTTTCACACAGGTGGAATGCTTTCTGAGCCTGGATCCGCGGGTCTCGCACAGTTTCACACAGGTGGAATGCTTTCTGAGCCTGGATCCGCGGGTCTCGCACAGTTTCACACAGGTGGAATGCTTTCTGAGCCTGGATCCGCGGGTCTCGCACAGTTTCACACAGGTGGAATGCTTTCTGAGCCTGGATCCGCGGGTCTCGCACAGTTTCACACAGGTGGAATGCTTTCTGAGCCTGGATCCGCGGGTCTCGCACAGTTTCACACAGGTGGAATGCTTTCTGAGCCTGGATCCGCGGGTCTCGCACAGTTTCACACAGGTGGAATGCTTTCTGAGCCTGGATCCGCGGGTCTCGCACAGTTTCACACAGGTGGAATGCTTTCTGAGCCTGGATCCGTGGGTCTCGCACAGTTTCAGACAGGTGGAATGCTTTCTGAGCCTGGATCCGTGGGTCTCGCACAGTTTCACACAGGTGGAATGCTTTCTGAGCCTGGATCCGTGGGTCTTGCACAGTTTCACACAGGTGGAATGTTTTCTGAGCCTGGATCCACGGGTCTTGCACAGTTTCACACAGGTGGCAAGTTTTCTGAGCCTGGATCCGTGGGTCTTGCACAGTTTCACACAGGTGGAATGTTTTCTGAGCCTGGATCCACGGGTCTTGCACAGTTTCACACAGGTGGCAAGTTTTCTGAGCCTGGATCCGTGGGTCTTGCACAGTTTCACACAGGTGGAATGTTTTCTGAGCCTGGATCCACGGGTAAGCCGATGAGTAGTGCAGAGAGAACTGGTCTGCGGGAGGAGAAAGAGGCCAGGTGGAAAGTGAGGCAGTGAGCTCTGTGGGGAGGGACAGGGTAGACTGCCCAGCGCCAGGCCTCTCTTGAGGTCAGCACTGAACCTACCTCCAACCTTTCACCTTACTCGCTTGAGGGCTGCCTGGCCCTGTGACAGAAAGGAGGCAAGTGTGCAAAGTGCTCTCACAGAAACACCATTGCCCCCTGGTTCCTTCTAGGTTCGGAAATTGGTTTCCCGGCTCACAGACGGCAATTTCTCATTTTGAAAGCCAGAATTCTAGATACTCAAAAGTTGCTTGTCTTGAATGCTTTGGACCAGGGGTCAACCCGCTGTTTCTGAATGTCACCAGATGGTAAATATTTTAGGTTGCACAGGCCTTTCGGTCTCTGTCACAGCTTCTCAACTTGGCCACTGTAGCACAAAAGCAGCTGCAGACAATCAGTGGAGGACCTGGTAATCTTCCAATAAAACTTTAAGAAACAGGTGGTAGGCCTGGTTTGGCCCACGCACTGCTGACCCTTGCCTTACACAAATCTGGGAGAATTTGGATCAATGCTTGTGAAAAATCCCTGCCAAGTGCAGACTGAATGTAACTATTAATTTTGATGTGTGTGTGTGGAAAATATTAATCTCCAAATCATTTTAAGAGTAAGTGTTGCCAGCATTGGCAACACTTGCTCAGGCTCAAACTTCAAATTTCTCCCTTAGGCCTACAAGCACAGGCATGTGTGAATTTCAGCCCTTCCGTGCTTTAGTGGTGCGACCTCAGGATAACCAAGGCAGTGCAGGCTAATTGTTAAGAGCAAGGAACCAAGAGTTGAAGGGTTCTAACTCAGATTTGCCACCTGCTAGGTGGATGACCTTGAGCAACTTATTAATACTTAACAGCTCTGCACCCTAGAGTCCTTGTCTATAAACTTCAGACAATAAATGTTCCTACTGTAGCAGTGTTTTGCAAGGATAAGACAGGACGTGTAAAGTACTCAGCACAGTGTCTAGAAAGTGCTAAGTTTTCCAAAACTATTTGCCATCTGTCATTTGGTAAAGTTGGGAAAACACTTAGCAGAGTTCCTAATGCATAGCAAACTTTCAGTGAATATTTCTTCTTCCCTTTTTGTCGGGGAGGGGAACAGGGATCAAGGAGTTTCTGGGCAGGCTGGAGTGCAGTGGTGCAATCTCAGCTCACTGCAGCCTGAACCTCCTAGGCTCAAGCGATCCTCCTACCTCAGCCTCCTGAGTAGCTGGGACCACAGGCATGCACCACCACACCTGGCTAATTTTTGTATTTTTAAAAGAGATGGGCTTTCACCGTGTCTGAGACCAGCTGGGCAACTCCTGAGCTCAAGCGATCCTTCCGCCTCGGACTCCCAAAGTGTTGGGATTATAGGCATGAGCCACTGCGCCCTGCCTGAAATGAATCTTGTGGCTGGTCGGGGATACAGCAGGAGTTTCCCTAGGAGGGTATTCTTAACACATCCACGCTGAGCTCCTGGTGTGAAAAGGAGAACTTACCTACAGAATGTCATATATCAGATTTTATTGGTACGTTGCCATGTATCTCTAAAAACCATGCTGCAGAGGCTGCTTGGGAAGTGGGATGGAGCTGGGATGGTACCGCCAGGATGTCAGGTCTGGAGACAGGGTTCCAGTGCAGGCTGCATCCAACACGGGCACTGGGAGCTGAAAGGGTGGGGGACATTCCCCGGGAGTTTCCTCCACCCTCTCTTCCTTATTGGATCATCCCCATCAGCACAGAACCATGCTAGTATTTCTTCCATCTTTAATTTTTTTCCCTTTTCTGACCTCACTTCTTCCTCCAGCAAAACCCCTCCAAAACACTGTACTTTCTGCTTTTTTTTCTTTTTTCTTTCTTTCTTTCTTTTTTTTTTTTTGAGACAGAGTCTTGCTCTGTGGCCCAGGCTGGAGTGCAGTGGCGCAATCTTGGCTCACTGCAACCTCCGCCTCTTGGGTTCAAGGGATTCTCCCACCTCAGCCTCCCAAGTAGCTGGGATTACAGGCGCCTGCCACCACACCTGGTTAAATTTTGTATTTTTAGTAGAAACAGCGTTTCACCATGTTGGCCAGGCTGGTCTCGAACTCCTGACCTCAAATGATCCGCCCAGCTCGGCCTCCCAAAGTGCTGGGATTACAGGCGTGAGCCACCGCGCCCAGCCTCTTTCTGCCTTCTTTTAAAACTTCTCCATTCAGGCTTTTTGTCGTCAGCCACTTCACCATAACTGCTCTCATCGAGGCCATCAGTGGTCTTCATGTTGCTAAATCAGATCGATTCTCCTGTCCTTGACCTGTCCGCAGCACTGGTCCGGTGTATCACTTCTGCACTTTCAGGCTTTCCTCACTTGGTTTCCTGGACACCCACTCCTGGTGCCCCTCTTCCCTCAGTGGCTGCTTCCTTCTCAGTCTCCTTTGAGGGTTCCCCTGCTCTCCACATTCTCTTCAAGCTGGGGTGCCCAGGGGCTGGCCTTCGACATATTTCTCGGACCTGTGTTCACTCTTTTGATAATCTTACCCACTCTTACGGTTTTACATACCATCTATTTACAAATTTGTATCTCCGACTAATTTGTTGTTGGAGACCCCACATCTTGAATCGGATGCATGGATCTCATCACCTACTCAGCACCTCCCCTTGCATGTGTCTTTGGGCATCACAAACGTGACACGTCCACCCTGAGCACCTTGCTCTCACCCCACTCCGGCTCCCACCTGTCCATTTCAGGTGCCAACAGCTCCATCCCGCCAGTTGCTCAGGCCACAACCCCCCGTTATCCTGGCTCTTCTTTCCCTCACACCACAGGTCCAGTCCATGAACAAATCCTGTGGGCTCTCCCTTCAGAACAGATCCAAAATCTGACCACTTCTCACCACCTCTGTTGCCACCACACTGGTTCAGGTCACCATCCCCTCTCCAGAGGGTTGTTTCCAACATTTGCTAACAGATATCCCTGGCATCGCCTTGTCTTGCGGTCTCCTCTCAGCACAGCAGCCAGAGTGATCCTCCTAAAATCTAAGCCATTAGGTAACTCCACTGCCTGAAATCCCCCATGTGTCCCCGCCTCACTCAGAGTACAAGCCCAAATCCTTACTGTAGCTCTAAGACCCTGCACTTTTGGCCTCCAGCTCTCTCTCCAGCCTCCTCTCCTACCCTCCCTTCCCATTCCCCCGCCTCCCTCTGTTCCCCGCACGGCGCCCCACCTGCGGCCCCCTGAACGTCACAAGCAGGTGTTTGCCCTTGCTGCTCCCTCCATCTGGAATGCTCTTCTCCCAGACACCCTCACCTCCTTCACGTCTTTGCTGGAAGATCAGCCTCTCAGAGAGGCATGCCCCGATGATCCTATTTGAAACTGTGCTCCTGCCCCATCCAACAATTCTGTATAACTCCTTCCCAAACTTATTTTTCTCCCCAACACTCATTACTTTATAATACACCGTAACACTGATTTACTGTGTTTCTTTTCCGTGTTCCCCTGCCTCCACCTTGAGAATGAAAACTTCGTGAAGGCAGGATTCATTTTGTTTACTGCTTTTCCCCAGTGCCTAGAACAATGCCTTTTTGGTTTTGGATGGATGGATGGGTGGATGGACAGATGGGCTGGAGGCTCCCTACGCTTTCCAGCCATTGCTAACAACCATGGGGTGGTCTTCTGTGGAAACACCCATTCTTCCACTGTTGCCTTGTTCTGTGATGAGAAGGAGTCTGCATGCACTCAAGCAACTAACAAAGCTATTAATAAATGAAGACCCGCTGACTATGAGGTTGTCCTTTTTGGTTGTTGTTGTTGTTTCGAGACAGAGCCTTGCTCTGTCACCCAGGCTGGACTGCAGTGGCGCGACCTCAGCTCACTGCAGCCTCTGCCTCCCGGGTTCAAGCGATTCTCCTGCCTCAGCCTCCCGAGTAGCTGGGACTACAGGTGCCCGCCACGACGCCCAGCTCATTTTTTGTATTTTTAGTAGAGACAGTGTTCCACCGTGTTAGCCAGGATGGTCTCAATCTCCTGACCTCGTGATCTGCCTGCCTCGGCCTCCCAAAGTGCTGGGATTACAGGCGTGAGCCACCGCGCCCAACCTCTTTTTTTTTTTTTTTTTTTGAGATGGAGTCTCCCTCTGTTGCCAGGTTGGAGTGCAGTGGCACGATCTCGGCTCACTGCAACCTCTACCTCCTGGGTTCAAGCGATTCTCCTGCCTCAGCCTCGTGAGTAGCTGGGACTACAGGCACCCGCCACCACACCCAGCTAATTTTTTGTATTTTTTAGTAGAGATGGAGTTTCACCACGTTGGCCAGGCTGGTCTCAATCTCCTGATCTCGTGATCTGCCCACCTCGGCTTCCCAAAGTGCTGGGATTACAGACGTGAGCCTCCGCACCCGGCTGAGTTTGTCCTCTTTTTAAACATTTTATTTTAGATTTGATGTAAATATTTATTATCTATATTCCTTCTATTTTATAAAACTGTAATGTGCATAACTGAAAACTTGAAAAACACAGAAAGGCAGAAAGAAGAGGGGAAGGAATCACCAAATTTACCTCTAAATAAACAGCTGCATTGTGACCTTGCTGTATTCCTTTAAGGGGTTTTGTTTTCCTACACACAAGTTTGAGAGATGTGTTTCCCCTTAGGTAAAAGGTAAGAAAGTCCTTGCTCTTTTCCACCTAATAATACAATCAACATTTTCCACGTTAACCCAGTCATTGAGTGAGCATCATTTCTGACAGCTATGTAGTGTTTTATCAAGTGGATGAATATTTTGTATGTAACCAGTTCCCTAGTGTTAGAACATTTTAATGGCTCCATATTTTTCATGATTATAAATTATGCTACAGTAAAGGGATAGTTTTCTCTCAATAACAGCTTTTCTCAAATCATTAACTTGTCATTGCAGGGCCCTGGAAATGGAGAATGGATCTTAGCTTGAGCAACAGTCTCCATGCAAAGGTGTTGACTTGCAGAGTCATGACAGATGACAGGAGGGAAGAGGGGGAGGAGTGGCAGGTGATAGTTTAAAACTTTTTTCATTTTCATTATAAAGGTACTATGTAGTTACATACAATTTGGAAAATCCATGAGTTTGGAATGTGTCCCGGCTCCAGTCTTAATTAACATGAACACGTAGGTCTTCTTGGCCTCCAATTCCATCTGTACACACAAAAAAGCCTGGTCTCTTGCAAATTTCTCTTCCACCCCAGGTATTTCTGGAGTCCCCAGGGGTTACCACAGACCATTGCAAGTTTGCCTTCTATTATCATTGCTGCTGGTTTTATCATTGCCACTAGAAGTTTCCCTACCCCCAGTATTCTTCAGGGAAGACTTGCATTTTGCCTCTGTTAAATCAAGGTTCAGTGGTGACAGGGTGACCAACTAGGGTATAAAAAAAAAAAAGAAAGGAAATAGTTTACTCACTTCTGCAGCATCTTAGGGATCCCACAGTGGGTTCACTTGAGCTCCCACATATTACAGGGCTGGGCGAGGTCATTCTTCACTTTGCACACCTAGTCCTTTTCTGTCTTATTCACTGCTAGGTCTGGCATGATGCCCGGCACAGAGGTGTGCCCAATTGAGATTTGTGCATTGATTAACTTCATGAATGAACGAATGGCCCATCTGGCAGGAAGTACAGAGAGAGCTCAGTGATCTCACTGACTGGCAAAGGCACCAGGTGGCGTGGCAGGTGGCCGGATGGAAAGGTAGCAACAACCTCTGTCCCCGTTAGGCCCTCCCTCTCTTTCCCTGAAGCCCACCCACCCAAGGAGGGGTTACTTCACTGTCAGGGGTTCCCACAGCTCCTGGCTTCCTTGCGTCCCACTTACCTCTTCTCATTGTCGGTGTCTTCCCGGGGCCTGTCTCCCCTTTCTTGCTGGTGCTGGTGGGGCTGGCTGGTGGCCAAGCATCCTTGGGGCACAGACTGTCCTCTTTGGTGTCCTCAGTGCCACGCCAGGGCCCAGCCTAGGCTGGTGCTCCACAACAGGCCAGGGGAGAGGTGAGCGAGACCCTGTGGAACATGAGTCCCTGTGTCTTACAACTTCCAAGAAAGAGATCTGCCCCTGGACGTTCAGAAGCTCAAATATGTCCCCAGAGAGCAAATTTCTATTGGCTTTGAGAAGAAGAAAACCCCTCCCGCCCCAGGGCAGTGGGTCCCAAACTTGGCGGCACCGCAGAATTACCTGGAGATCTTTAAAAATGTCTAAAGTCGGCCGGGCGCGGTTGCTCACGCCTGTAATCCCAGCCCTTTGGGAGGCTGAGGCGGGTGGATCACGAGGTCAGGAGATCGAGACCATCCTGGCTAACACGGTGAAACCCTGTCTCTACTAAAAATACAAAAAATTAGCCAGGCGTCGTGGCGGGCGCCTGTAGTCCCAGCTACTCGGGGGATTGAGGCAGGAGAATGGCGTGAACCCGGGAGGCGGAGCTTGCAGTGAGCCAAGATGGCGCCACTGCACTCCAGCCTGGGCAACAGAGCGAGACTCCGTCTCAAAAAATAAAAAATAAAAAACAAAAAAAAGGTCTAAAATCCAGGTCATATCCCAGACCAAATAAAGCCCAGTCCCTGGGGGTGGGACCCACCCACTCATCAGTATTTTTTGCAGTTTCCAGATAATTCCAACATGCAGACACATTTGGAGCCACCTCCTAAGTCCTCGGCCCATCACAGGCCCCACTTAATGAAAATCTGTTGAATGGACAATGAGTGAATGAACATTTGAGCCTTCACATCTTCGGCAAACACTTATGTGTCCTTTTCCCGGGTTTCAGGTTGTGACCTTGCTACCGCGTCATTCTATTAAAGATGAATCTCGAAATTCTCCTTTATTTTTTGGTAGCAGTTTTCTTGTTTCAGTTTTTATATCTAGGAATTTAATTTCTCTACATAGGAGAGTCTAGAAATGTAAACTACTTTTCAAATAAAAATCCTTTCCCAACTCATTTGAAGTGCCGTTTTTATCACGCAATGCCACATTCACGTCATTCAACACGTATTTCCGGCACACTGGCTATGTGCCAAGCACTGCTAGGTGCTGGGGATACTGGTATGGACAAGAGGGACACAATGGCTCAGCTGTCGCCACCCAGACTGATAAACTGGCTCATCTGATCTTGTGGCCTCTACCCAGGAACCGGCTCAGCGCAAGAGGGCGACTTCGACTTCCTATGATGTCATCTCCAGTCCCAGCAACCAGCACTGCTCACTCCCTGGACCCCTATCCGCCAAATTATCCTTCCCTGCCAGAGCCTGCAGACCACAGGAGAGGCAGACAGGGAGCACCCCCACAAACACACAAATATGGGATTTCAAGAATTTATGGTTATTTATGGTCAGGGCTTTGAGAGAACAGAACGCAATTCTGGGAAGAACAGAGGGCGCCTAGTTAATGTCAGGGGTGTGCGGCAAGTCCTCTCTTTGCAGAAGGGGCAGCTGTAGTTATGCACTGATGTGTCCGTTTAGCATTCGTCGCCCCCCACCCTCATGGTAAGCTTTTAGAAGAGCAAGACCACGTCCGTGTTATTCGCTGCCTTCCTACCTTCTGGTTTAACCACACGGGATCCTCGAACAGCCCTGCCCCGGGAGCTGGAACAGGTCTGGCTCGCCTTCTGCGGCAGGTGCCGGTGGTGCTGGGTGAGCCGGTCCAGCTCCTGCTCCAGCTTCTTAGCAAGTGCTCTCAGTTCCTCTGCTGTCTCCGTCCTTGCCCCATCCTCCAGGTGCTTCCAGCTCTGCAGGAAGCTGCTCATGTCTTTCATAAGTAAGAAGCCAGCCCCAGCAGCACCCATCACCCAGGCACCATTGGTCATGGCCAGAGTTGTGCCCTCAAAGGCTCTCTGCACCCCTCTAGCCATCCAGAAAGGGATGTGTCTCTTGGCCACAAAATTCTTGACCATAGCCATGAAGCCAGAGTTGGATTTGGCCATCTGGTAGGCATGAAGATCCTTGATGCCCTGGATAGCTTTTACACACTTATTAACACAAAAGCCAGCAGCCTCGATTTCAGACCAATTTATTCCTCCGAAAGCCTCATGTGATGTTGTCAGAGGCCCCAGTCGGCTGGCTTTGTCTCTTGCTGCTGAATTGCTTCTATTTTCTAAGACATTTGTTACTATGTTGGTGATGGCAGCTGCTGCCCCCAACCCTGTCCCAGTTGCTGAGAGCATGAGACTGCCTCCTGCTGTCACAGGTGCTAGGGCCAAACCCAGGATGTTCATGACCCCAGAAACAGCCCCGGAAGAGCTGGCCACCAGGCTGGTCTTGGTAAGCAACTCGTGAGTGGTGTCAACTTGGTCCGCAAGGGTGTTAAGTTCTTTGATGTTCTGTTCTAGCTCAAACTTGTGCAAAGGAAAATATGAGAGAAACAATTTTTCCTCCTCTGACAGATTTCCATCTGGCATGGAATCTTTGTCACATCGCATCAGCTCTTCAAACAGAAAGTAGGACAGCATACCAGCCTCATCACTGTGGACAGTTGACATCAAATTGTTAATTTTCCAACTCTGGCACAGGTTCACGAGTGAGGCTAAAGACATCTAGGCAATCTGAGCACTAAAATGTGTGCAGGAGGCAGAGCCCTGAGAATCGAGGTACAATGTCGAAACCACCTTTGCAAAAATTCTAACAGTGGGGAAATTACAGCAGTGAAAGGGGTCTGACCTAACCGGCTTCATCTTGCTTCTAACCTCCAAGCTGTTCTCGTTCATTCTTCTGGGCATAAGCTGAACTAACTTTGGGAAGAACTTAGTTTATAGTTTAACTTTGAAACAAAGATGATAACAGCCCTTTCCCAGAAACAAACCCCCTTCTTGCCTAGGGACCAGACTGCCTTTATAGGACTAAAAAACTGGCCACAAGATTAGAAATTATAGTTTAGGTGTTATTCAGCCAGAGGCCACAAGATTCTAAACCTCCCCAATTGCTCCTCGAGATAACATCACTATTGTAAAACCTAACATGAGTGCTCGAGATATTTTTCAGACCCTGCACTCAATGGCTCAGCTGTCGCCACCCAGACTGATTAACTGGCTCATCTGGTCTTGTGGCCTCTACCCAGGAACCCGCTCAGCGCAAGAGGGCGACTTCGACATCCTATGATTTCAGCTTCAACCCCAGCGATCAGTACTCCTCACTCCCTGGACCCTTACCCACCAAATTATCCTTTAAAAAAAAAAAACAGTCCTGGCCAGGCGCGGTGGCTCACGCCTGTAATCCCAGCATTTTGGGAGGCCCAGGCGAGCGGATCACAGGGTCAGGAGTTCAAAACCAGCCTGGCCAATATGGTGAAACCCCATCTCTACTAAAAATACAAAAGTTAGCCGGGTGTGGTGTAGTCCAAGCTACTCGGGAAGCTGAGGCAGGAGAGTCGCTTGAACCAGGGAAGTGGAGGTTGCAGTGAGCCGAAATAGCGCCACTGCACTCCGGCCTGGGTGACAGAGCAAGAGTTCATCTAAAAAAACAAAACAAAAAAACAAAACAAAAAACCCAGTCCTCGAATTTTTGGAGAAACCGACTTGAGTAATAATAAAACTCCAGTCTCCCATTCATCTGGCTCTGCATGAATTAAACTCTTTATTGCAATTCCCCTGTCTTGATAAATCAACTCTATCTGGGCAGAGGGCAAAATGAACCCACTGGGCTATTACAATGTGGGCAGCAGACAGACAGACAGACAGAAGGTCCACTCTGGCCTGGAGCCCTGGGTGGGGGTGGCCGTGTGTTTTTAGCAGGAGCACAGTTCAAACTACCCCTATGCAGGCCTAGGCTGATGGCTTACTATTCCATTCATCCACAAACAGCTCTCTTCTAAATGTATGTGGATACAAGGCCGGGCACGGTGGCTCACGCCTGTAATCTCAGCACTTTGGGACACCGAGGCGGGTGGGTCACCTGAGGTCAGGAGGTCAAGACCAGCCTGACCAACTTGGTGAAATCCCGTCTCTACTAAACATACAAAAATTAGCCAGGCACGGTAGTGGGCGCCTGTAGTCCCAGCTACTCAGGAGGCTGAGGCAGGAGAATCACTTGAACCTAGGAGGCGGGGAGGTTGCAGTGAGCCGAGATCGCGCCATAGCACTCCAGCCTGGGCAACAGAGTGAAACTCCGTCTCAAAAAAATAAAATAAAATAAAAATAAAATAAATGTATGTGGATACTGATGTGATGAATAAAATGTAACTTAAAAGCTTTACTGACTTTGGTCACCAAGTCTTTTCCTAATAAAGATATACATACATGCATACATTTATAATGTATACATATATAACAAGTTGTCACCAATTTGATTAAAAAACAGTACCAAGAGTGTATGGAGCAGATGCTTTGATCTTCTTTCTTTTTCTTTAAAAAAAAAAAAAGGTGGTTGCTTGAAAATTGTGGTTGCTTCTGGGCAGGGAACCTGGGACATCGGGAAACAGGATTTAAGGAGACCCATTTTTTTTTTTTTTTTTGAGACAGGGCCTCACTATATTGCCCAGGCTGGCCTCGAACTCCTGGGTTCAAGTCATCTTCTCCAGCAGCTGGGACTACAGGCGCATGCAACCACACCTAGCGACACTTACTTTTTACTATTTGCCCTTTTGTTCCTCTTAACTTTTGTGTCAAATGCATGTATGATAATTTTTAAAAATTAGTAAAAGAGTCTACATTTCCAAAGCAAAAGTTTGGGGATCTCCAAGAAGACAACCACAAATCCCCCTTCCACGGGAGAGGGCTCACTGTCATTCAGTGGGACAGTGTTGAATATTTTGAAAACAAAGTAGAATTTTTTTGTTTGTTTTGAGATGGAGTCTCACTCTATTGCCCGGGCTGGAGTGCAGTGGCGCGATCTCGGCTCACTGCAACCTCCGCCTCCAGAGTTCAAGCCATTCTTCTGCCTCAGCCTCCCGAGTAGCCGGGCATGATGCACCACCATGTCGGGCTAATTTTTGTGTTTTTAGTAGCGACAGGGTTTTGCCATGTTGGCCAGGCTGCTCTCCAACTCCTGACCTCAAGTGATTCACCTCCCCTCGGCCTCCCAAAGTTTTGGGATTACTGGCATGAGCCATCACGCCCAACCCAAAGTAGATTTTTAACAAAAGTGTGGTCACACTTAGAAATAGTGAGATCTACTCTGGCCGCTTGTTAACAGGCAAGTGGGGGGAGCTTGTAAATCTTAAGAAAAAGTGAGGAAAAGGGAAAAAAGGCACAACTGGGAAAATCCTCTCCACTCAAACTTTTCCTGTAGTTCGAAAAAAGAATCACCATTCAATTTTCCTGTTGAATCATTTTGGCTCAGTATCTGGAACTTCAGAGTTCTGCAAGACCTTTGAGAATCACTGTTCTTAAGTACCATTTTCTTATGGAATTTGGGGTTTCCAGCGTGTGTATTGCTGAACTATGGACTGTATGTGTGACTTTCTACAGCACGTAACAGGGTTTGACTTGTATATCCCTTAGGCTGGTTCTGGCCTGTCTCCTAATTGAGCATCTACAAGAGACTTGGCTTGGGTTTGATGGATAGTGAGAGAGGATCTATGGGAAAGGATGCAAGGCTGTGGGCAAACTGTACTTGGACCAAGGAACCCCACGGCCTCAAAGGAACTGTTGACAACAGCCTTAGAATCCTCTGCTCCTTAGCCAAGGCCATCAGCAGCCTCAAGTGGACCAGCCCTGGGTCCCTCCCTCCTCCCTCCTGGAGGAAGCGGGAGGGGCCTTCTGACATCCTTCCTCATCTTCAAGTCACTCTTTTAAGAAAAGACTTCATCAGGGCTTAAGGTGAACATCTCTGTAAACCTAGGAGTTCAGTGCCCCCTCTCCAACCTAAGTTTTAGAACTATGAGATGTTAGAGCTGGAAGGCCCTTCCAGGTCGCCTTGTACACAGATGGCAAAGAGGCATAACCTCCCCGCTATTGTTAGTGAGGGTGTCTAAAGCACGGGAGAATCACGGTGACACATCTAGGCTCTTTGGGAAAGAGTGCTGCTGTGACCTAGTGGGTGCCCTCTAGGCACAACACAGAAGATAAATAGTATTCTGCCACATTTTTGCCATCAATGAGCCCAGTCCCTTATTTACAGAGAAGCAAACCAGCTCCAAAAAGGAGGGACATTCCCTGATTACAATTGAGTTAGTGGTGGAGTTAGGGTAAGAACCTAGGGCCGGGCGCAGTGGCTCATGCCTGTAATCCCAGCACTTTGGGAGGCCTAGGCAGCCAAATCACTTGAGGTCAGGAGTTCGAGACCAGCCTGGCCAACGTGGTGAAACCCTGTCTACTAAAAATACAAAAATTATCCAGGTGTGGTGGCGGGCACCTGTAGTCCCAGCTACTCGGAAGGCTGAGGCAGGAGAATCACGTGAACCTGGGAGGCAGAGGTTGCAGTGAGCCGAGATCGCGCCACTGCACTCCAGCCTGGGCGACAGAGGGAGACTCCATTTCCTGAAGCCTCTAGTCTGCCTCAACCACTGGCTGATTTTCCCCAAGATAGGAAAAATCATCCCTTTTCCTTTACCAAAGGAGGAGAGGTTAACATTGTACAAGCACATAGGAAGGGCCCCTGTTAACTCCAGTCCATGCAGCATGCATTGGCCAGTAGCCAAAGTCAAGGACACGGATAAGAAAAATGGCTGTGCCTGTGCCTGAAAAGTCAATGCCTTTTTTGGGGAGCTTTCTCAGACTTAACGGGAGCACTGGGGGGAAATCTTGACAGTGGAGGTGGGAGAGAGAACAGTAGAGGGAGGCTGGGCCAAGGACACAGAGAAGTCAATAACTGTACCTGTGTCTGAAAGCGCAGGCAACCCATTTGCATGACGCATGAAGATTTTATCTTTAGGCATTTGGTTGCTATAAATTGCGGGAGCATTGCAACCCACTTTAGAGAACCTTATGGACACTTTGGCAAGAGTTAAGTGCAGCCTCTGTTAGGCAGCAGAGTTTGTTGTGAGTCTATTGTTGCAGCTGAGCTCTGTGGGAGAGTCTGAATGCCCAGGCCAAGGCAACGGAAAGGGAAGTCCCAGGAGCTTGGATCTCAAGGCAAGACTCAGACATTATCATGGGTTGGGAAAGGGTGAAGGCAGACCCAGGAAGGAATATTCCTGGATTGGGAGAAAACCAGCAAATTCTGCTTCTAGGATTCCATTGCCCTCTAAGCCATGTGTCTGGGCATCTATCAGTATACCAATGTACTTACCATTACCAAAGGATTTTTTTTTTTTTAAATGAAGCCCTGCTCTGTCGCCCAGGCTAGAGTGCAGTAGTGGTGCAATCTTGGCTCACTGCAACCTCCGCCTCCCGGGTTCAAGCAATTCTCCTGCCTCAGCCTCCCATGTAGCTGGGATTACAGGCATGCTCCACCACACCTAGCTAATTTCTGTATTTTTAGTGGAAATGACGTTTCACCATGTTGGCCAATCTGTCCTTGAACTCCTGACCTCAAGCGATCCGCCCACCTTGGCCTCCCAAAGTGCTAGGATTTCAAGCGTGAGCCACCGTGCCTGCCCTTACGAAAGGTTTTACATTTTTTTTACTAAGATATTTTTTATGCGGATGTGTACATTTTATCTTTTTTGCATATCTCCAATTGCACATGAGACAACATGAGCAACACTTCAGCCAACTTGGTTGGAACCCATTTGTATGTTTCATCCTATGAAGGTGGCTACAGATCTGGATATTAACAATCAGATTTTATTCCTTCATTCAAATACTTATTGACAGCTGGGCACGGTGGCTCACACCTCTAATCCCAGCACATTGGGAGGCCGAGGCGGGTGGAGCATTTGAGATCAGGAGTTCAAGACCAGCCTGGCCAACATGGGGAAACTCCATCTCTACAAAAAATATAAAAATTAGCCGGGCGTGGTGGCGGGCGCCTGTAATCCCAGCTACTCGTGAGGCTGAGGCAGGAGAATCACTTGAACCTGGGAGGCAGAGGTTGCAGTGAGCCGAGATCGTGCCACTGCACTCCAACCTGGGCAACAGAGAAGAGACTCTGTCTCAAAACAAAACAAAACCCAAATACTCATTGAGTGCTGGGTCTGTGACAGACACTGTTTTGGATGCTGGGATTGTGGCCATAAGCATAACAGCCTGTTCTCTGCCCTCACGGAACTCAGGTTCTGGGGACTTCCCCCAGACCTCACCTCCGTAGATTACCTTTCGAAGCCACATTTCTTTACAACCTTCTCCCAAGCCTGGAGATGGACAAGGATCAGGGACATTTCTTCTTGAGTCATCTCAGCCCGAAAAGACATAACAGTGCTCCGGGAAAGTTGGCTGTCTAATTACAATATTGGAGAATTAGAAAAAAAAAAGAATACAACAAAAATCTTAATGTCTCAGAAATGTCACATGATTTTTGTCTAATGATTTTAAACAAACAAACCATGGGAATGCCCAAGGTTGACTAGGATGCAATAAAACTGGAAATCGCTTAGGCTTCTAGTGGCAAAGTAGATTGGTAAAGCACTTTTGAAATGTTGACGTTATACGTTAATGATATGGGAGCAGGCAGGGAAGTGCTGCTTACATAAAGGCATGGTCCCCGGTGAGGGTTCCACCCTCGGGCCTGGGCCCATGGATCTAAGTGAGGACAAGCATTTCTGCTTTCGCTCCCAAATGCTGCATTTTCTAAGACCACTCTGGCCCGCCATATCCCCACCTAACAGGCAGACACACACAAGTAGCTGGACATCGAGAGGAACACACAGGAAGAAGAATACACCGGCGGATGCTGACAGGTCATCCACGGCTGAATGACATGGAATTTAGCCAAAGGCAGTTGGAGGAGAACCGCTGAGTGGCCCAAATCCAGGGGAAGACCACCTTCCCACTCCATCCCCTTTCTGGCTCCCCATCCATCTGCTGAGAACTACACTCGATAAAACCTTGCACTCACTCTCCAAGCCCACGTGTGATCCAATTTTTCTGGCATACTAGGGTTAGAACCCTGGAGTACAGAAATTAGACCCTCTGCTTTGTCCTTCCGATAAGCTCACTGGGGCTCGGGAGCTGCAAACACTCAACCCTAGATGGGGCTGCTGTGGGGTCGGAGCCCACGCTCCCCAAGACCTGCCGGTCCGCATGCTCCCCCTAGGGGTTTGAGCCGCAGGGCACCGAAGAAGTGAGCCACACCCCGTTTTATACTGTGCAAGGGGGATAAGGGAACTTTTCCCATTTCGTTAAGTCACAAAAGTCTTCTGAGAATCATCCAACAACACAATGATAGGCACCAAGACAATCGGGGCCATGTTAATTGATAACATTTTTAACTTGGGAGCAAGTGAACGCTCATTCTGTCCAGTGCCTATCATCTATAGCCCTGAGAGAGGCACAGTCCAGTCCCTGCTGAATGACACCTGCCTGATGACAAGGCTCGTGGGCGGGATGGTGGTTGGTTTTACCCAGGCAGGCAACACAGCAGAGTCCACCTTGTTCAGACACTCTCTCTCACATTGCAGCTTCTTTTGTTGCTCAAAAATCACTTTAAATGTATTTTCAATATAATTTGACAAAAAGATAGTCAAATTTGACAAAAAATATAATTTGACAAAAATCACCCCTAGTTCTCCTGCAACATAACTATTGATTTCATTCTCTACTTCCCGTTATTTTTCAAATCCGTATTATTTTTCGCATGGCTTTTATACTTATAATGGTGTGTCCTGTTTTTATTTATTATTATTATTTATTATTATTATTATTTTTGAGACGGTCTCACTGTCACCCAGGCTGGAATGCAGTGGTGCGATCTCGGCTCACTGCAACCTGCGCCTCCTGGGTTCAAGTGATTCTCCTGTCTCAGCCTCCCGAGTTGTTGCAATTATAGGTGCGCACCACCATGCCTGGATAAGTTTTCTATTTGTAGTAGAGATGGGGGTTTCACCATGTTGGCCAGGCTGGTCTCAAACTCCCAACCTCAGGTGATACATCTGCCTTGGCCTCCCAAAGTGCTGGGATTACAGGCATGAGCCGCTGTGCCTGGCCACGTGCCCTGTTTTTAAAATGTAATGTTATACAAGTATTTTCCATCTTGCTATACAGTTGTTATAACTATTATTTTTGATGACTCTATGCTATTTCCTTAAGAGAAGATGTATTGTCATGTTTATAGAAACACTCCCTTATCATGGCACTTTGGCGTCTTTTTTTTTTTTTTTTTTTTTTTTGAGACGGGGTCTCTGTCTGTTGTCCAGGCTGCAGTGCAATGGCGCGATCTCCCAGTTCAAGCAATTCTCCTGCCTCACCCTCCCGAGTAACGGGACTACAGGTGTGCACTACCAGCCTGGCTAATTTTTTGTATTTTTAATAGAGACAGGGTTTCACCATGTTGGCCAGGCTGGTCTTGAACTCCTGGCCTCAAGTGATCTGCCCATGTTGGCCTCCCAAAGTGTTGGGATTACAGGCATGAGCCACTGCGCCCAACCGTGCTTTGGGGTCATAACAGTTTTGATATCCAGATGAGTTCTTTGATAATGTCGCCACCTTGTCCTGCCTGCTGCCTCTACTTTAACCAGAAATGGAACCAGTGATTGACCCCTTCCCCGCTGCCACACTGCTTCAAGCAGGGGCTTAAAGAGCTGCTTATGTTTTTAGTTAAACTTTACATTTTTAGTTAAACTTTACAAAGGAAGTTATTTGATGTAGTATTTTCAAACCTGAGCAATTGAGAGGGTCTCATGATATCTCCCTCATTAAAACCAAGGATCTGCTATATCTCCACCCAGCAATAGCATATGGTGGGTATAAAAAATAGTGTAACGTATTTTTTCTATTTCTGGGACAATTTGTACAACGTGAGAATTGCTTGTTTTCTGAAAGCTTAAAAGAACTTACCAGGTAACACCTTGGAACCGGGAACTTGCAAATTTCCTTGTTTGCCACATGGCATGCTTTAGATTTTTTAAAATTTAAGCTTATAATATGATTAATAAATATGACTCCCTTCTCCATGCCTGAAACCTGTCTCTCCCAGTCCTCACCTATTTTTTTTTCTTTTCTTTTCTTTCTTTTTTTTTTTTTTTGCGATGGAGCTTCTCTCTGCTGCCCAGGCTGGAGTGCAGTGGTGCAGTCTCAGTCACTGCAACCTCCACTTCCCAGGTTCAACTGACTCTTCTGCCTCAGCCTTCTGAGTAGCTGGGATTACAGGTGCCTGCCACCATGCCTGGCTAATTTTTGTATTTTTAGTAGAGACAGGGTTTCACCATGATGGCCAGGCTGGTCTCAAACTCCTGACCTCAGGTGATCCGCCCGCCTTGGCCTCTCAAAATGCTGGGATTACAGGCGTGAGCCACTGCGCTCAGCTGCTATGGCTTTTGGAAGGATGATTTAGGGTATCTTTCTTTTTTTTTTTTCTTTCATTTGGAGATGGTCTCATTTTGGCACCTGGGCTGGAGTGCAGTGACACAATCTCGGCTCACTGCAGTAACCTCCCGGGCTCAAGTGATCCTCCTGTCTTAGCCCCCCAAGTGGCGGGGACTACAGGTGTGCACCACCACACCCAGCTAATATATATATATATATATATTTTTTTTTTTTTTGTAGAGATGGAGATTCACCATGTTGCCCAGGCTAATCTCTAACTCCTGAGCTCAAACAATCCACCCTCCTTGGCCTCCCAAAGTGCTAGGATTACAGGTGTGAGCCACTGCACCTGGCCTTCTTGGGATGTCTCTTAACATGAGAAGTACATGTGCCTGACACTCAGCATCCCACCTCTAGAAATACACCCACCACGGACACAACACAACGGCACAACACAACACAACAGACAAACGTGTATGGATGTTCATCCAGTTATTTGAAGTTGTATAAAGAAATGGAAACAATTTGAAAAATCCATGCCGGGGACTGTTTACATGAAAATAGAGCAATACAAAATAAAGGTTTATGGATGTGAAAAGGAACGAGGCAAATCTATGTACAACTGACCTAGAAAGAGGTCCAGGATATATTAAGTAAAAGAAAAGAGGTTGAAGAATATGTTCTTTATATTCTTTTCTTATTTTTTTTAAGTACTATATATGTGATGTAGGAGTAGGGGAATATTCTCGAAGGAGATACACCAAATGTGAACAGGCTTAGCTCAGGGAGGGAGATTTAGGGCTAGGGTGACAAAATACTTTTGCACTTTTCACTCATCTATATTATTGAGCTTTGTTACCAAAGTAACTTGTTAGTTTTATAATAAAAGCCAATAGAAGCCAGGCACGGTGGCTCACGCCTGTAATCCCAGCACTTTGGGAAGCTGAGGCAGGTGGATCACCTGAGATCAGGAGTTCGAGACCAGCCTGGCCAACAAGTCTCTACTAAAAATACAAAAATTAGCCAGGCGTGGTGGTGGGCACCTGTAATCCCAGCTACTCAGGAGGCTGAGGCAGGAGAATCTCTTGAACCCGGGAGGCGGAGGTTGCAGTGAGCTGAGATTGCACCACTGCACTTCAGCCTGGGTGACAGAGCGAGACTCTGTCTCAACAACAACAAAAAGCCAATAGAATAAAAAGATTTTAGTAATGAGATTTATTATTCATTATTTTATCATAAAATCTCCCACTTGTACAGTAATGCATTTGGTGCAGGGAATGCTGCCAAGTACATGGTAAGACAAAATCTGACAAATTAATACTGTTAAATGTTAATATTGTTTTCTTTTTTTGTTGGTTCTATGTAAGTTTTTCTAACTTGTTATTTTGGCCTTTTGTGTCCTATTTATTTCAGGTTATCTCTTGGATGTAGAAAATTACTCAGATCTGATTTTGACCCAATTTGATACTTTTCTTAATGTTATTCATATTCATATTAATTATTTTTTGTTATAATTATTCAACTTTGATTTGTCCCATTATTTTAGGCATTCTGCTTTTTATTTCTTTGCTCTCTTCCTATGCTCTACATAGATAGGTACAGTGCAGAGGTTTCAGCTGATGCAGTGAGTGGTTTATTGTGGCAGCCCGGAGCTTCACCTTGAAGGCAGAGATGTGTGTTATCTGCGCTTTCCTGCCTACTCTGTGTATACCCAGTAAATGACAGATACAGAACAACACTTAGAATAAGACCTCATCATTCATGACACTAAGTTTTGTTTTTTTATGTATGTATGTATATATTTATTTAATTTTTGATACACAGTCTTGCTCTGTGGCTCAGGCTGGAGTGCAGTGGCACGATCTCGGCTTTGCAACCTCTGCCTCCCTTGTTCAAGCGATTCTCCTGCCTCAGTCTCCCGAGTAGCTGGGATTATAGGTGTGCACCACCACGCCCAGCTAATTTTTGCATTCTTAGTAGAGACGGGGTTTCACCATGTTGACCAGGCTGTCAACCTCCTGGGCCTCAGGTGATCCATCTGGCCACCTCAGCCTCTCAAAGTGCTGGGATTAAAGTCCTGAGCCACTACGCCCAGCTGACACTAAGTTTTTTATGTTTAAAATCTTGCTCAGCTCTCCCTGCTGTCCTGGGCTAGAATAGATCTTGGGAGATGACTCTATTAGACTTTATTTTGGGGAGGAGGCAAGAAGGGAGTGAGCAGGGCTGAGACCCAGCAAAGGCAGAGGATGATCATATAGCGGGAGTGGGAGAACCACTGGACAGGTTCTGGGTCTGTCCATGAAATGGGCTCATAGTTCCCTTCCAGTTAAATTCATCTCCTATGCAACTTTTGTGCTTTATGCATAGGATGAGAGGTCAAACAACATCATCTTGTGTTTGATTATGTACACAGATGTTTCACGAATCATCATATTTCATAATCGATCAATTTCTGATAATTTAAAAATGCATCTTCCATGAGAAAGCTCAGAATATCACACTGAGAGCGAGAAAGAACTACCCTTCTCCCCCTGCTTTGACTCACGTCTCCCAAACAGGGCGTTAGACTCTTCTGAGTGGTTTCCATTACAAGACACCCAGGAGGCCACCTTCAGTGGAGGCTGTGGCCACTGTGCTCAGGGATCACACACAGATGCAAGGAGCTTGCTCCTCTCTCCTGCCTCCTCTCTCAACACGGAAGAAGGGATCCACTGGCCCCAGTTCATTTATCTTGCTTTCTCAACTCTTCTCAGTCGGACACCCTGCATTCATTGCTGGAGGACACAGCGATCCTGAACTTGGAGTCTGGTTTTAGAGGCAGGGAGAGGCTCACGTAGACCTAAGCCAGGTAGTTCAGTCCATTCTGCCAGAGAGCTCTGCTCTGGAGAGTCAGCCCCAAGCCAGAAGGGTAAAACGAGGCATTGTCCTTTTCTGCTACTACTGTTTGCCATTGTCCCTCATGCTAATATCTCCCTCGAGGGCCACATAGTGAGAAGGCATGGCTGGGCCAAAAACAAA
Organism: Homo sapiens; assembly: GCF_000001405.40. Taxonomy (NCBI): domain Eukaryota; kingdom Metazoa; phylum Chordata; class Mammalia; order Primates; family Hominidae; genus Homo; species Homo sapiens. The sequence continues at coordinate 29,207 of NT_187630.1, read as the reverse complement.
TCTAGGCACTTCTGGAATTCTCAACCACACAACCAGATAACAGTGCCTGGACTGACCACAAAACTGGACCCATTAAGAGTTGCAGGGCCCAGAGGGATAACGCAGATTTTTATTTATTTTTATTTTTTTGAGACAGAATCTTGCTCTGTCATCCAGGCTGGAATGCAGTGGCATGGTCTCAGCTCACTGCAACCTCCGCCGCCCAGGTTCAAGCGATTCTCCTGCCTTAGCCTTCCAAGTAGCTGGGATTACAGGTGCGCACCACCACGCCTGGCTAATTTTTGTGTTTTTAGTAGAGACGGGGTTTCACCATGTTGGCCAAGCTGGTCTTAAACTCCTGACCTCAAGTGATCCACCTGCCTTGACCTCCCAAAGTGCTGGGATTACAGGCTTGAGCCACCGCGCCCGGCCAACACAGATGTTGTATTCTGACTTGAGTATGTATCTGGATCTGAGGTTCATGAAATACAGTCACCACAGCTAAGGAACCCAGGATGAGAGGTCTCTAATTGTAGGAGGAGTGTGAGCAGAATCTCATGGGAGATAGGGCAAGAAAGGGACTTTAGTTCCTCACCTTCACTTTCGGACCCAGGATCAGCCACATCCAGTGCCTCAAGTCACTTCATAATCTCTAGCATCTCCCGTTGTAGGTGGGGACAGTGAGCTGGGGTCAAGAGAATTTACTGAACAGGAGAGGATTACCTGGGTGGATTTTGGTTGGTGCTGCAGTCATGGTATCTCTGAGGATCCCTTGGCACTTCTCTCTCTGCAGATGACAATGGATCCTAGGCCGGAAGAGAGGCAGCTTCCCCTCCTAAAGAAGAAAACCGACCCCACAGTCATTCAGAGAGGCGATGAGTGGCGGGGCGCCATACGGAGCTGAGGCCTGGTGACTCCGAGATGGGAATTCGTAAACAGATAAAATCCACGGAGGATGGAGAGCTTAGAGGGGAGAAGAGCACTGAGGCTGGAGCTGGGAAACACCAATGGTAGGTGGAGGGGTTGAGGAATAACTCAGAGGAAGCTACCCCAGAGAGAGGGTGCAGGGAGGGACCCCAGCATCTGTTTCTTTCGCTGTCAAGCCTCTCGCTATCTCCATCATAGTACAGCAACTCTCAGAAGTGCTTGCAAAGACTTCTGGTTTGAACATGAATGGATCACATTCTCAATTTCTCTTCTTTCAAAAATTACCCATAAGCAACAAGGAAAATGAAGCAAATACCATCTATTAGAGACGAGGGAAAATAGATAAACTAGATTAAAAGGATGCCAAAAGCAATGGGAATGAGCAGGGCTTTGGGAGGAAGAGGAGAGAAGATGTTGATAACTGCAAATTTCAGAGAAAAGAAAAGCCTCTCTTCAAGGCAATGGGTGTTCCCAAAGTGCAACAATAGAATGCTGTGTTCAAAATAGTAAGACTAAGGTGTACAGGTTGGCAGTGAATCCACTAAGGTGTACAGGTTGGCAGTGAATCCGGATTGGTTCCACAAAGCAGTGACGATAGGACTAAATGAGGAAACACAGTGAGACAAGCCATATTTGTAGGAAGCAGTTTGTTTTTGAGGCAGAGAGGGGAAAAGACTCCACCTTGTGAACAATCTGAAAACTGCCAATTCCATTGCTGGGGAGAAATATATACTAGAAATTCAGGTAGAAGGCCCAGGTCATAAAGAACAGTTCTGCTAGCCTAGAACACAGCCCTGGCTTTTTTCTATTTAATTTTCCATAAATAGCTGGTCCATGAAAAGAAGAAAAGCCATCAACACAAGGTCTACACAAAAAAAATTAATAACAAAAAACCCCCAATTTTTAAAATGGACAAAGGATGTGAATAGATATTTCTCCCAATATGTGCCAATAAGCATGTGAAAAGATGCCCAACACCTCTAATCATTAGGAAAATGCAAATCAAAACCACAACGAGGTTAGGTACGGTGGCTTATGCCTGTAATCCCAACATGTTGGGAGGCTAAGGTGGGAGGATCACTTGAGGCTAGGAGTTCAAGACCAACCTGGGCAACAATAGTGAGACTCTGTCTCCACAAAAAATTAAAAAATAATAATTATTTTGAAAACCACATGAAATACCACTTCACACTTATGCAGACGACTCTTACCGAAAAATAAAAATGAGCCGGGTGTGGTGGCTCATGCCTGTAATCCCAGCACTTTGGGAGGTTGGGGCAGGAGGATCATTTGAGTCCAGGAGTTTGAGATCAGGCTGGGCAACATAGAGAGACCCTGTCTCCACAAAAATAAAATAAAATAATTAGCCAGGTATGATGCACATGCCTGTGTCCCAGCTACTGAGGAGGCTGAAATGGGAGGATCACTTGAGCCCAGGAGGTTGAAGCTGCAGTGAGCCATGATAGCACCACTGCACTCCAGCCTGGGTGACAGAGTGAGACCCTGTCTCAAAAAACAAACAAACAGCAACAACAACAACAAAACACAACAACAACAGAAGGCTGGGCGCGGTGGCTCACACCTGTAATCCCAACACTTTAGGAGGTTGAGGCAGGTAGATCACCTGAGGTCAGGAGTTCAAAACCAGCCTGGCCAACATGGCGAAACCCCGTCTCCACTAAAATACAAAAATTAACCAGGTGTGGTGGTGCATACCTGTAATCCCAGCTACTTGGGAGGCTGAGGCAGGGGAATCACCTGAACCTGGGAGACAAAGGTTGCAGTGAGCTGAGATCATGCCACTGCACTCCAGCCTGGGCGACAAGAGCAAAACTCCGTGAGGGAAGGAAGGAAGAAAGGAAGGGAGGAAGAGAGGGAGGGAGGGAGGGAAGGAAGGAAGGAAGGAAGGAAGGAAGGAAGGAAGGAAGGAAGGAAAAACATGGTGAAATATATATTGTGGACAAGTTGGAATGCTTGTGAATTGCCGGTGGGAGTGGAAAATAATGCAGCTGCTGTGTAAGATAGCTGGTCCATAAAAAACAACACGTTTTTCACCTTGTGTAAAACAACAGGGTGGTTCCTCAAAAAATTAAAAATAAAACTAACATATGATCCAGCAATTCCACTTCTGGGTATATATATACCCAAGAGAATTGAAAGCAGGGTCTCAAAGAGATATTTGTATAACAATGGTTATAGCAGAATTACTCACAATAGCCAAAATGTGGAAACAAGCCAACTGTCCATTGATGGATGAATGGATGACCAAAAGGTGATATATACACATCATGAACTATTATTCCTCCTCAAGAAAGAAGGAAGTCTTTTTTGTTTGTTTGCTTTTTTTGTTGTTGTTGTTGTTTGAGACAGAGTTTCACTCTTGTTGCCCAGGCTGGAGTGCCAATGGCGTGATCTTGGCTTACTGCAACCTCCCACTCCCGGCTTCAAGCGATTCTCCTGCCTCAGCCTCCCAAGTAGCTGGGGATTACGGGCATGTGCCACCATGCCCGGCTAATATTTTTTTATTTTTAATAGAGATGGGGTTTCACCACGTTGGCCAGTCTGGCCTTGAACTTCTGACCTCAGGTAATCCATCCACGTTGGCCTCCCAAAGTGTTGGGATTACAGGCGTGAGCCACTGCGCCTGGCCAGAAGGAAGTTCTGACCCATGCTACAGCATGGATGAACCTTAAAGACATTCTGCTAGGTGAAATAAGCCACTCACAAAAGGACACACGCCGTAGGATTCCCCTTATATGGGATTCTTAGGGTAGTCAAATTCATGAAGCTAGGGAGCAGAGTCGTGGTTGCCAGGGGCTGGGGGAGGGGAATGAGGAGTTATTGTTTACTTGGGGCAAAGTTTCAGTTTTGCAAGAGGACAAGAGTTCTGTGGATGTTGGTGGCCATGGCTGCACAACAATGTGAATATACCTAATGCCACTGACCTGTACCCTTAACAATGCTTGAAATAGAAAATTTCAGGTTATATATATTTCACTACAATTAAAACGAATATATATATATGTGTGTGTGTGTACATATATATGTATATATATACACATTTATAGGCATTTAAGTATATAGACAAAAAGGGGTTGGGTGAGGTGGCTCACACCTGTAATGCTAACACTTCAAGAGGCCAAGGCGGGAGGATCACTTGAGCCCAGAAGTTCAAGACCAGCCTGGACAACAAAGTGAGACCCTGTCTCTACAAAAAAAAAAGAAGAATAAAAAAGAAAAAAAATTAGCCAGGTGTAGTGGTGCATACCTGTAGTCCAGCTACTTGGGAGACTGAGGCAGGAGGATCGTTTGAGAGCCTGGGATGTTGAGGCTGCAGTGAGCCATAATCACAGCACTGCACTCCAGCCAGGGCAACAGAGCAAGACTCTGTCTCAAAAAAAAAAAAAAAAAAAAAAAAAAAGAGAAAGAAAGAAAGACCTAAAGGCAGACAGCAACAACAACAAAAACAAAGAGCAGATAAAGAACACTCACCAGAAACATGCTGCCAGCAAGCTGATGGAAACTATCATTCTTCTGTAATTAATTTTGTTAAAGTTAGTGAAGGAATTTCCCCTACAATGCAAGAGCATAAAACAGAGATGTGAGGGCTCAGAGGAAACATGGCAAGGTAACAGGAGGAAAGCACATGGAAGCTGGTGGAGCTTAGGAAAGAAGAGAAGAGAAAAATAAAGTCATTACAAAAAAATCAATGCTCATTGGATTTTATACAAGAGAAAACAGACACTATTAAAAAAAAAGATATAGAAGACAGGGATGAAGTGAAAATAAAGTGCTGAAAAAAGTTTAGCAAAAACATATGGAATAAATAGGAATTTTGCTAATGCCAACATATGCTCCTTGGAATCCCCAAAGAAGAAAACTGGAAAATGTAAACAGAACAAATATTTAAAGATAAAATTGAAGAAATATTTCTAGATATAAAAGAGCACACTAGGTCCCAGGAAAAATGGTTGCTGAATGGTGGCAGCAGGGAAAATGTAATGAAGTTACTAGATTTCAGATAAAACAAAGGAATTTCTTGAGCGACCAAGTATGTTGGCTTCAGACTTTCTAGAACATTCAGCACAGAAACAACAGACTGGCGCCTACAATAGCCATGAAAATAGAAACTCTCAGAAGAAGTGTGTGTGTGTGTGTGTGTGTGTGAAAATTTTGTGTGTTTTATACCTTAGTATGATTTTTTTGGCATGCTATTAGTTCTTCAGAGCACAGAAGAAAAGACATTTTGATTCATAATACTATCTTAGCTTTGCTTTTTAGAATATATCTAGATACTGACAAAGATTATATCGCATTAGCTTTTTATTCAAAACCTGCATATGCATACGTTTTGCATGTTCTTGATAACAAATGTTGACACTTCGATAAGTAAAAGGAAGTGAACACAGGTCATTTCAAGTCCACCACCCATGGTAACCACCATCCACACTCATCTTTTGACTGACATATCATTTAATGAAAAAAAGACTTGACATCCATTTTCTCATGTACCACTCAAAATAGCATTGTAAGGGAAGCGCATTTGTGTTACTCGCATTGTGTAGCCAAGGAAATTAAAGTTCATTCGATTGAAGTACTTACCTGGGTCACCCTCCGTTGTCACAGTCTGTGGGCGCAGGGTAGCTACCTCTCGAGTAGTCCACGTTTTGTTCCTATATGGGTCCCCACAACATGACAGTAACTGGAATTTCAGGCAGATGAGCTGAGGCAGTTTTGAGCAAGGAGTCCAATGGTTCGGGCCACTGTTGACCACTGCCTGCCCCTATAAATATATAACTACTCAAGGGAGTTGCATAAATATTCTGGTCTTCTCATCAGAAAAAAATCAGCGCAGAGGAAAGCGTATATTTATCTTGGAACAGAACTGTAACCATGGACGGCTCTGCCCCTTCCCCCCTTTTTAATCCAAGCGATGTTTGTGAAGAGCACAGATGTGATCCTGAAGGTTCTTGACAAACCAGCACTTCCCAGATTTTACCGTGTAAATCATTCCCTGGAGACCTTATCAAATTGCTGATTGTGTTTCAGGAGGTCTTGGACAGGACAGGGCCTGGAATTCCGTATTTCTTTTTTCTTTTTTTTTTTTCTTTTTTTTGAGACAGAGTTTTGCTCTTGTTGCCCAGGCTGCAGTGCAGTGGTGGGATCTCGGCTCACTGCAACCTCCACCTCTCGGGTTCAAGCGATTCTCCTGCCTCAGCCTCCCAAGTAGCTGGGATTACAGGCTCATGCCACCATGCCCAGCTAATTTTTGTATTTTCAGTAGAGACAGGGATTCACCATGTTAGCCAGGATGGTCTCGATTTCTCTCTTTTTTTTTTCTTTTTGAGATGGAGTCTTGCTCTGTCTCCCAGGCTGGAGTGCAGTGGTGTGATCTCGGCTCACTGCAACCTCTGTCTTCTGGGTTCAAGCAATTCTCCTGCCTCAGCCTCCCAAGTAGCTAGGACTACAGGTGCGTGCCACCATGCCCGACTACTTTTTTTTGTATTTTTAGTAGAGACAGGATTTCACCATGTTTGTCAGGCTGGCCTCAAACTCCTGACCTCAAATGATCCGCCCGCCTCAGCCTCCCAAAGTGTTGGAATTATAGGCATGAGCCACCGTGTCCAGCCGGAATTCTGTATTTCTAACCGAACTCCCAAATGACACCAGTGCTGTCAGTCTTGAAGAGAACAGAATAGTCAGATGGTAAGAAAAACCCTTCTCCAGGGCACCATGGCTCTCAGGCTAAGGCCGAGGACTTTTTCTGTGGTTTCTATGGCCTGATGAGAGGCCCCCCACCACTCTCCACTCTCCTCCTTTACTCTCGTTACTGAATAGTCCCTTGATCCACAAAAGGTCCATTTCCAGCAAATGTGAAGAATTCCTATAATTAGTAAGAAGAAGATGTATAGTCCAATAGAAAAGTGGATGAGAAACTTGAAATAGGTACTTCACAAACGAAGATATCCAATGGCCAGTTAATATTTAAAAAGATGCTCAACCTCATTAGTACAGTCATTCCTCACCTAACGAAGGGGACACATTCTAAGAAATGCATCCTTAGGCAATTTCATCATTTCACAAACATCATAGAGTATATTTACACAAACCTAGGTGGTCTGGCCTACTCCATGCCTATGCTACGTGGTATGGCCCATTGGTCCTAGGCTACAGGTCTGTACAGCATGTGCTTGTACTGAATATTGCAGGCAACTGTAACACAATGGTAAGTATTTGTGTATCTAAACATCTCTAAATATAGAAAAGGGACAGTAAAAATATGATATAAAAGATTAAAATGGGCTGGGCACCGTGGCTTACACCTGTAATCCCAGGACTTTGGGAGGTCAAGGCCAGCGGATCACTTGAGGTCAGGAGTTTGAGACAAACCTGGCCAACATGGTGAAACCCCATCTGTACTAAAATACAAAAATTAGCCAGGCGTGGTAGCGCATGTCTGTAATCCCAGCTACTTGGGAGACTGAGGCCCAGAATCACTTGAACCTGGGAGGCAGAGGTTGCAGTGAGCTGAGATCGCACCACTGCACTCCAGCTTGGGTGACAGAGTGAGACTCCATCTCAAAAAAAAAAAAAACAAAAAAAACCCGTTATAATTTTATGGGTTACCCATCTTTGACCAAAACATCATTATGCAGTGTGTGACTGTAATTTGTATTTCTTTTTCTTTTTTCTTTGCTTAAAGACGAGTGTGATAGTATATAATTTATAAGTAAGCAAATGCAAATTAAAAACGCAACGATAGACACGCCCTTCCCAGGCTGTGAAGCGCCGTCATGTGGTGAAGACCTGCCCTCTGCACACCAGGGAGACCCCAGACCTTCCAGGCCAGGGTCTGACAGCACTCACAGGCCTGACTCTTCTGTCAAAGTCTTGCAGAGCCCTAAGATCTCATTGCAATGAAAAATGCACTCACATCGTCAGCTCCCAGGCCAAACAACCTGGAGGAGTCTGAAAGGGGAAAAGGGGATGCCCAGGAGAAATCCACAGAGCTGCACCACCTTGGGGGACTGGCCCATGCTCAGTGGGGTTTCTTCACTGAGCCCTTCCCTGGGCTGGAGATGCTCATGTCCAAACTGGGCCCTGTAGGTCCTCTCCAGAGGCTTCAAAGTCTCCTTGAAGAGGCTGGGTGTGGTGGGTCACGCCTGTAATCCCAGCACTTTGGGAGACGGAGACAGGCAGATCACTTGACATCAGGAGTTAGAGACCAGCCTGGCTAACATGGCGAAACCCCGTTTCTACCAAAAATACAAAAATTAGCTGGGCATGGTGGTGCACGCCTGTAGTCCTAGCTAATCAGGAGGCTGAGGCAGGAGAATCACTTGAACCTGGGAGGCGGAGGTTTCAGTGAGCCAAGATCACACCACTGCACTCCAGACTGGGCAACAAAGTGAGTAAGACTCTCACTCAGAAAAAAAAAAAAAAAAAAAAAAAAAAATTAGCTGGGCGTGGTGGCAGGCGCGTGTAGTCCCAGCTGCTCGGGAGGCTGAGGTAGGAGAATGGCGTGAACCTGGGAGGCAGATCTTGCAGTGAGCTGAGATCACACCACTGCACTCCAGCTTGGGCGACAGAGCGAGACAGGAAAAAAAAAAAAAGTCTCGAAGCAACCAGAGGCCAACCAGCAGCAAAACTGGGGAGCTTTGGTGACCCCATAATTTGAGATGGTTGCTAATTGTTCTCAGAACAGGAAACCCAGAAAATATGTTGGAACATTGTTAAGGCTTTATAACCTCCTGTATAAATTTCCCTTATCTGACTGGGCGCGGTGGCTCACGCCTGTAATCCCAACACTTTGGGAGGCCGAGATAGTTGGATCACCTGAGGTCAGGAGTTTGAGACCAGCCTGGCCAACATGGTGAAACCTCATCTCTACTAAAAATACAAAAATTAGCCAGACGTGGTGGTGGGCTCCTATAATCCCAGTTACTAGGGAGGCTGAGGCAGGAGGATCACTTGAACCCGGGAGGTGGAGGTTGCAGTGAGCCAAGATCATGTCACTGCATCCCAGCCTGGGTAACAGAGCGAGACCCTGTCTCAAAATAAATAAATAAGTAAATTTCTCATATCTTCATCATATGCCGGAATTTGAAATCTATATTATCCAGAGTGTGCACTCCAACCATGTGAGTCACGCTTGTGTTTGGAGAATCCTGCAGTTCTGCTGGAGCAGGAAATGTGATATTTTGCTTCTGCACAATTAGTCATTTATATTGCCAAACTCAAGATACCCACACATGATTCTATCATTGACATTCTAAGTGAATTCTTGAAAAGTCCCCATTCTTTGCTCATCTTTTCCCTCTATGAACAGCATAATATGTTGGGAAGGGCTTTCCAGGTAGGCCTATTGGGGTCTGAATCCTGTATTGCTGGGCAAGTTTTCACCTCTAAGCCTCAGCTTCTCCATCTGTAAAATGGAGCTAACCCTACCTGCCTTTATGATACCTTATAATCCTCACAAATAACCTTGCATGTAAAAGGCCTCGGATCTATGTAAGTGCTTTGCAATATTAGTTTTCTTCCAGCTTCTGGTTTTTTTTTTGAGACAGGGTCTCACTCTATCACCCAGGCTGGAGTGCAGTGGTGTGATCTTGGTTCACTGCAGCCTCAACCTCCCAAACTCAAGTGATCCTCTTGCCTCAGCCTCCCGGGTAGCTGGGACCACGGCCGTGCGCCACCACCCTCAGCTAATTTTTGTATTTTTTTGTAGAGCCAGGGTTTTGTGCCATGCTGCCCAGGCTGATCTCAAACTCCTGGGCTCAAGCAATCCTCTCAATTCGGCCTCCCAAGGTGCTGGATTTACAGGTGTGAGCCACTGCACCTCGCCAAGTTTCTCATTCTTGAAAGGTAGGTTATGACAGCCCCAAAGCAATTTTCATAACAAATCTACCTTTGTAAATTTAAGGATATGTGTTAAGCAAAACAATACAGTTTCCAATGACAAAATCAATAAGCAAGTAACTCCTTGGGCTATGGGATGACCATGAATGTTATAGAAAGATTTGGATGGGCCATGAACAGTCTGACTGGGGCTTTGAAGAAGAAAGTCTTGGAAGGCAATAGATTGTAAATTCGTCCAAGAGACCCAGGGCCCCACCCAAAAGTCCAATCCTGCTTATAGCCACTGCCTTTCCCAAGTCAAAGTCTGAAAAAGCTCATTAGTACCAAGACCCAGCTCTATGTCAGACAAAAGTAAATCTTGCCCTGGGCCCTGCTCAGGCCAGGCCAGAAGAGCACGAGTGACTCAGAAAACTCCATTTATTGACCTCTAAATCTAACAAAATTAAGATCTCTGCAGAAGCATTTTGAGAAGCCCTTGGTCTTGTTCCCACTGCTCTGCTCACTGAAGTGAACTCACTTCTGTTCCTATAGCCTTTGTATCTGTTTTCTGAAAAGCTAAGAGAACTTCATGTGCCTGTTTTCTTTGCAGTCACTCAGCAGTTGTGGTCAGCATAGAATGCAGGGGAAAAAAGCCAGAAAGACCGAGAAGCTTTTCCATAGGCGGGCCCCACAGCCAACCCAATGCCGGATCCTCTCCAGGTTGAGGGGAACGAGTTGCTCTTAATGACTGTTGGGCAGTGGACCATAGGAGCCCAACTGCTCTATGAAATGGCTGTTCCTGGGACACCTGTGAGCAGACACAGTGCCGTGGAAGGGCCAGTTGGTGCAGCCACCCAGGGCTCAGAGGATGGTGAAGGTGAATCCACGGTACGCCTAGGATATACACAGAGGAGAAGAGTGAGGTGGACATTGGGCAGCCAGTGTGCAGCTATTTTCACCGACCGGCTCCACCGCCTTGGCAGGGCCAAGCATCGAAGCAGAGGCTCGCTGCAGCCAGACACTGGGCTGCTCCACTGGCGACCCAAGCCACAAAGCCTCAGTTCTGGAAGGGGATGGTCCACTAATTCGTGCTCAGCTTTAAAATGGGAGGACAACTCAGCAATTTGTTGGAGGGCTAAACAAGTTAACACAGGTAAAATGCAAGGTAATTCTGAGATAGCATCAGTATTATTTTGGTCGTGGTTGTAGTTTTATTGCCAATTCTAAGCCTTTCTCAGAAAGATATTACCCCTAACATCGCAGGGGTGTACACCCCCTTGTGATACTGTTCCTTATATGCTGGGAGGGAGACGATGATACTAGTGGCAGTATCGCAGGGGGTATACACACCCACTGTGATATTGTTCCGAATATCCCGAGGGGGAGAAAATGATATTACTCCCAATATCGCAGGGGGTGTACATCCTCCTGTGATATTGTTTCTTATATTCAGGGGGAGAGGATGATATGACTCCCAATATCGCAGGGGTTCTACACACCTCCTGCGATATTGTTCCTAATATCCTGAAGGGGAGAGCATACTATTACTCTCCATATCGCAGGGGGTGTACACCTCCTTTGTAATATTCTTCTTAATATCCATGATGGGAGAGGATGATATTACTCCCAATATCGCAAGAAGTGTACAGTCGCCTGTGACATAGTTCCTAATGTCTAGGTGGGGAGAGGATGATATTACTGCCCATATCGCACGAGTTGTAAAACCCCTTCGATATTTTGCCTACAATCCTGAGGGGAGAGGATGATATTACTCCCGATATGGAAGGAGGTGTACACCCCCCTGTGACATTGTTCCCAATATCCACGTTGGGAGACGATGACATTATGCCCAATATCACAGGGGATGTACACCCCTCCTGTGATATTGTTCTTAATATCCTAGGGAAGAGAGGATGATACTACACCCAATATAGCAGGGGGTGTACACGCACCCAGTGATATTGTTCGTAATGTACTCCACCCCCCACCCCAACCAGGGATATTGTTCCTCATATCCAGGGGAAGAGAGGATAACATTATGCCCAATATTGCAGGGGATGTACACACCCTCTGTGATGTTGTTCCTAGTATCCAAAAGTAGAGACGATGATATTACTGGCTATATCGCAAGGGGTGTACACCCTTCTGTGATATTGTTTTTGCTATTCAGTGGGGGAGAGGATAACATTCATCCCAATACCACAGAAGGTGTACAGACCCCTCTGATATAGTTCCTAATGTACAGGGAAAAGAGAATAATATGACTCTCAATATCGCAGGGGGTGTAACCGCCTTGCCCCCCATATATTGTTTGTAATATGCAGCGGGGTAGAGGCTGATATTACTCCCAATATCCCAGAAGGTGCACACATACACCTGTGATACAGTTCCTAATATCCAGCGGGAAAGAGGCTGATATTACTTTCGATATTGCAGTGGGTGTACACCGCCCCCAACCCCGGGGTAGTGTTCCTAATATCCAAGTGGGAAGAGGATGACATTGCTGACAATATCGAAGGGGGTGTACACCTCTTCTGTGATATGGTTCCTGATATCCAGGGGGTGAGTGGATGATATTACTCCCAATAACGTAGGAACTGTACAGCCACCCTGGGATTTTGTCCTTAATAACCACATGGGGAGAGGTGATAATACTCCCAATATTGCAAGGGGTGTACACCCCTCCTGTGATATTGTTTCTTATATCCAGGAAAGGAGAAGATGGTATTACTACCAATATTGAAGAGATGTACAGCCCCCATGGGATATTGTTCTAAATATACAGGTTGAAAGAGGATGAGATTACATCAGATATAACAAGGGGTGTACACCCCGCCTGTGAGATGAATCTTAAAATCTGGAAGAACAGAGAATGACATTGCTTCCAAAAATACACGGGGTGTACACCCACCCTGTGATATAGTCCCTATCATCTGAAGGAAGAGATGATGATATTACTCCCAATACCGGAGAAGGTACATACACTCCTGTGATATTGTTCCTCATAACTGGTGGGGGAGAGCATGATATTATTTCAAATATGACAGTGGCTTGACAGCCCATCTGCGATATTGCTCCCAATTTCCAGTAGGTAAAGTACGATGCTCCTCCCAAGAGAGTAGTGGAAGGACATCCGCCCTGTGATATTTCTCCGAATATTCAGGGAAACACAGGAAGAGATTAGCCCAAATCTCACAAAAAGTGTACACCCATTGTGTGATATAGTTCCTAATATCCGGAGGTGCAGAGGATGATATCAGTTTTCATATCTCAGGCTATGTAGGCAAACCCCATGAAATTGTTCCGAATATCGGGGAAAAAGACCGCTAATAATGGATATACATCGCAGGGGGGTGATGATATGGGGAGCAATAGCCACCCCCTGCCCCCCTGGCTATTACGGTACACATCGCAGGGGGATGAGGCCGCCCCTCGCGATGCGGGGAGGAATAGCCACCCCCCCTCCCGCCCTGGCTATTACGGCCCACATTAGTGGACTCACAGCCTGTCTACGATATCGTGAGTAATATCATCTCCGCCTCTGGAAATTATGATCTATTTCACAGACGAGTGTACACCATCGGTGCACAGACCTTGTACATCCGTCTCTATTGGGAGTAACATCGTCCTCGTCCTCCCTGAATATTAAGAACAGTATCACAGGACTGTTTCTACTCCCTGCAATATTGGGTGTCACATCCTCCTCTTCCACGTTGAAATTAGAAACAATATCAGTGGCGGCTTGTACACCTTCTGTGATATTTAAAGTAATATCATCCTCTTCCCTCCAGGATCATGGGAATAATATCCTTGGGCGGTGTACGTTTTCTGCGATATATGTGGTAATATCATCCCCTTTGCCTTGGAATATTATGAAGGACCATCTCACATGGGGTTGCAGAACCCTTGCGATATTGGGAATATTATTATCCTCTTTCCCCTCTGCATATTTGGATAAATATCAGAGTGGGTGTACACCTCCTGCGATATGGGGATTAATATCCTTTTCTTTCTTTCTGGATATTAGAAACAATATCACACGGGGGTTTACACTTTCTTCCATATCTGGAGTAATGTCATCCTCTCCTGTTCTGAATGGCAAGAACAATATCTCAGGGGGGATGTACACCCCCTGCCATATTGGGGTAATATTACGCTGTCTCCCCCTTGATATTAGGAACAAAATCCCAGCGTGGGTGTACACCTCCTACTCTATGGAAAGTAATGCGGTCCTCTCCCTTCCTGCATTTTAGGGACAATATCACAGGATGGGTGTACACAGCCTGCGATATTGAAAGTAATATCATCCTCTCCCCCTCCGGATACTAGGAACAGTATCACAGAAGGGTTGTACACTCTCTGCGGTATTGGGAGTAACATCATTTTCGGCTTCCCTGAATATTAGGAGCAATATCTCCGGGTGGATGTACACCCACTGTTATATTGGGAGTAATGTCCTACTCTACCCCCTGGATATTAGGAGCAATATCACATAGTGGGTGTACACCCACGGCGATATTGAGGGTAATCTCATGCTCTTCCCTCCCTGGATATTAAGAACAGTATCACAGGTGGGTGTACACCACCTGCAGTACAGAGAATAATATTCTCTTCTCTTTCTTTAGCTCTTGAGAACAATATCACATGGTGGAAGGTGGGGGGGTACACCACCTGCACTATTGGGAGTAATATCATTCTCTCTTATTCTGGATAGTAGGAAAAATATCACAGGCGGGGTATACAACCCCTGTGATATTGAGAGTAATATCATCCTCTCCCACGTGGAAATTAGGAACGGTATCACTGGGGGCATGTACACCCCCTGCGATATGGGAAAGTAATATCATCCTCTTCCCTCCTGGATCATGGGAACAATATCACTGGGGGTGTACACTTTCTGCGATACCATCTTCCCTGCCTTGGACTGAGAAGGACATGAAGGACAATATCACGGGCGGGTGGGGGGGGGGGCGTGTACATCTTCTGCAATATTGGGAATAATATTATCCTCTCTCCCCCTGCATATTAGGAAGGATATCACAGAGTGGGTGTTCACCTCCTGCGATATGGGGATTAATATCATCTTCTCCCCTTCTGGATATCAGGAACAGTATCACACGGGGCTGTACACTTTCTGCGATATTGGGAGTGATATCAACCTCTCGGCCTTTGGATATTAAGAACAATATCACAGGGTGGATATACAGCCCCTGCCATATTGGGAGTAATATCTGCCTCTCCCCTCCATGGAGATTAGGAACAATATCCCAGGGTGGGTGTGCACCTCCTGCTCTATATCATCCTCTCCCTTCCAGGATATTACTAACAATATCACAGGGTGGGTGAACACAGCCTGCGCTACTGGAATTATTATCATCCTCTCCCCCTCGGGATGCTAGGAAAAATATCGCAGAAGAGGTGTACACTCCCTGCGATATTGGGAGTAATATCATACGCTTCTTCCGTGAATATTTGGAGCAATATCACCAGGTGGCTGTACATTCATTGCTATGTTGGCAGTCATGTCATACTCTACCCCCTGTATATTAGGATCGATGTCACAGGGTGAGTGTACACCCACTGCGATATTAAAACTGAAATCATGCTCTCCGTCCCTGGATACTAGGAACAATATCACAGGTAGGTGTACACCCCTGAGGGATTAGGAGTAATAATATTATCAATTATTAAACATCAATTATCAATTTTAATAATAATTATCAATGTTAATATTAATTAATAGTATAAGATTATTAATTATTGATAATTATTTTAAATATGTCATCATGCACGATTAAAATTAATTATTGATATGAATGCCATTTATCAATAATATTGGTTATTAAACAATATTAATTATTATTTTATTAGCAACATCACTTATTGATTTAATTAAGATTAATTACTGATATCATTACTTCATTATTAATAGTGACATTACTATTAATTATTAATACCAATCTTTAATATTTTTAACCAGCATTAGTTTTTACTCCCTTTATTGTAATTATTAATATCGGCGATTAGTATTAATTTTTATTATATATATTAATATTAATAATTAATATAATTTTTCCTGATATCCGGGGAGGAGAGGATATTACTCCCAATATCGCAGAAAGTGTACACCCCTCTATGATGTTCTTCCAAATAGCCAGGGTGTAGAGGATGACATTATTGAAAATATCGCAGTGGGTGTACATCCCTTCGGTCATCTTGTTCCTAATATTCTGGGTGGGAGAGGATGATATGACCCCCAATATCGCAGGGGGCGCAGACCTCCCCCGTGATATTGTCCCTAACATCCAAAGTTGGAGAGGATGATAGTTCTTCTGATTTTGCAGGGGTTGTACACCACCCCTGTGATATTGTTCCTAATATCCAGGGGGCAAGAGGATGATATTAGTCTCACTATTGCAGGAGGTGTACACTCCCTAGTGATATTGTTCCTAATATCCAGGGACAGAGAGGATGATATCACTCCCAATAGAGCAGGGGGTGCACACCCCTTCTGGGACATTGCTCCTAATAGCCAGCGGGGGAGAGGAAGATATTATCCCCAATATCGCAGGGGGTGTACACCCCCTTGTGATACTGTTCCTTATATGCTGGCAGGGAGACGATGATACTAGTGGCAATATCGCAGGGGGTGTACACACCCACTGTGATATTGTTCCGAATATCCCGAGGGGGAGAAAATGATATTACTCCCAATATCGCAGGGGGTGTACATCCTCCTGTGGTATTTTTTCTTATAGTCGGGGGAGAGGATGATATGACTCCCAATACCACAGGGGTTGTACACACCTTCTGTGATATTGTTCCTAATATCCCAAAGGGAGAGCATACTATTACTCTCCATATCGCAGGGGGTGTACACCTCCCTTGTAATATTCTTCTTAATATCCATGATGGGAGAGGATGATATTACTCCCAATATCGCAAGAAGTGTACAGTCTCCTGTGACATAGTTCCTAATATCTAGGTGGGGAGAGGATGATATTACTGCCCATATCGCACGAGTTGTAAAACCCCTTCGATATTTTGCCTACAATCCTGAGGGGAGAGGATGATATTACTCCCAATATGGAAGGAGGTGTACACCCCCCTGTGACATTATTCCCAATATCCACGTTGGGAGACGATGACATTATGCCCAATATCACAGGGGATGTACACCCCTCCTGTGATATTGTATTTAATATCCTAGGGAAGAGAGGATGATACTACACCCAATATAGCAGGGGGTGTACACGCACCCAGTGATATTGTTCGTCATATACTCCACCTCCCAACATCAGGGATATTGTTCTTCAAATCCAGGCACCCCCCGCGATGCGGGGAGTAAGAGCCAGCCCCTCTCGCCCCCCTGGTTTTTAGGACCCGCGGTGGACTCACAGCGTTTTTACGGTATTGTGAGTAATATCATCTCCCCATCTGGAAATTATGAACTGTTTCACTGACGGGTGTACACCCGTCTGTATTGGGAGTAATATCATCCTCTTCATCCCTGAATATTAAGAACAGTATCACGGGGGTGTTTCTACTCCCTGCGATATCGCGTGTCATATCCTCATGTCCCACGTTGCAGTTAGAAACAATATCAGTGGGGGCGTGTCCACCTTCTGTGATATGGAAAGTAATATCATCCTCTTCCCTCCAGGATCATGGGAACAATATCCCTGGGGGGTGTACACTTCCTGCCATATATGTTGTCATATCACCCCCTCCGCCTTGGAATATTATTAAGCACCATCTCACACGGGGGTGTACCCTTCCTGCGATATTGGGAGTATTATCAACCTCTCGGCCTCTGAATGTTACGAAGAATATCACAGGGTGTGACCTCCTGCTCTAGTATGGGGAGTAATATCTATCTATTATGGGGAGTAATATCCTCTCCCTTTGAGGATATTAATAACAATTTCACAGGGTGCGTGAACACAGCCTGCGCTACTGGAATTATTATCATCCTCTCCCCCTCGGGATACTAGGAACAATATCACAGAAGAGGTGTACACTCCCTGCGATATTGGGAGTAATATCATACGCTTCTTCCGTGAATATTAGGAGATATCTCACCGGGTGGCTGTACATTCATTGCTATGTTGGCAGTCATGTCATACTCTACCTGCTGGATATTAGGATCGGTGTCACCGGGTGAGTGTACACCTACTGCGATATGAAAACTAATATCATGCTCTCCGTCCCTGGATATTAGGAACAATATCACAGGTAGGCGTACACCCCCTGCGGTATTAGGAATAATAATATTATGAATTATTAAACATCAGTCTTATTAATAATTATCAATGGTAATATTAATTAATAGTATAACATTATTAATCATTGATTATTTTCAAGATATGATTGTGCATGATTAAAATTAATTATTATTAATGTCACTTTTAATATTAGTTATTAATCTTAATATTAATTATTGTTTTATTACCAACATCACTTATGATTGATTGAAGTAACATTAATTACTGATATCATTATTTTATTAATAATATTGCTATTAATTATTAATAGTAATCGTTAATATTTTTAATCCGTACTGTTTTACTGTCTCTACTGTAATTATTAATATCGATGATTACTATTAATTGCTATTATATTTATTAATATTAATAATTAATATAACTGTTCCCGATATCGGTGGAGGAGAGAATATTACTCCCAATATCGCAGAAAGTGTACACCCCTCTGTGATGTTACTCCTAATAGTCAGGGGGCAGAGGATGACATTATTGAAAATATCGCAGTGGGCATACATCCCTTCGGTCATCTCGTTCCTAATATCCTGGGTGGGAGCGGATGATATGACT
Source organism: Homo sapiens (assembly GCF_000001405.40). Classification (NCBI taxonomy): domain Eukaryota; kingdom Metazoa; phylum Chordata; class Mammalia; order Primates; family Hominidae; genus Homo; species Homo sapiens. The sequence goes on along the minus strand of NT_187630.1, from coordinate 10,632 downwards.
CCCAATATCACAGGGGGCGGAGACCTCCCCCGTGATACTGTCCCTAACATTCAAAGGTGGAGAGCATGATATTTCTTCCAATTTCGCCGGGGGTGCACACCACCCCTGTGATATTGATCTTAATATCCAGGCTGCGAGAGGATGATATTAGTCTGAATATTGCAGGAGGTGTACACTCCCTAGGGATATTGTTCCTAATATCCACGGGCGGAGAGGATGATATCACTCCCAATATAGCAGGGGGTGTACAACCCTTCTGTGACATTTTTCCTAAAGGGCAGAGGGGGAGGGGAAGATATTACAGCCAATATCGCAGTGGGTGTACACCCCCTGGTGACCTTGTCCCTTATATCCTGGGAGGGAGAGGAAGATACTAGCGGCAATGTCGCAGGGGCTGTACACACCCACTGTGATATTTTTCCGAATATCCCGAGGGGGAGAAAATCATGCTACTTCCAATATCGCAGGGGGTGTACATCCTCCTGTGATATTGTTTCTTATATTCCGGGGGAGAGGATGACATTACTCTCAATATCGCAGGGGTTGTACACACCTCCTGCGATGCGGGGAGTAACAGCCAGCCCCTCTCCCCCCCTTGCTCTTAGGACCCCCATTGCAGGGGGTTGAGGCACCCACCGCGATGCGGGGAGGAATAGCCACCCCCCCTCCCGCCCTGGCTATTACGGTCCACATTAGTGGACTCACAGCCTGTCTACGATATCGTGAGTAATATCATCTCCGCCTCTGGAAATTATGATCTATTTCACAGACGAGTGTACACCATCGGTGCACAGACCTTGTACATCCGTCTCTATTGGGAGTAACATCGTCCTCGTCCTCCCTGAATATTAAGAACAGTATCACAGGACTGTTTCTACTCCCTGCAATATTGGGTGTCACATCCTCCTCTTCCACGTTGAAATTAGAAACAATATCAGTGGCGGCTTGTACACCTTCTGTGATATTTAAAGTAATATCATCCTCTTCCCTCCAGGATCATGGGAATAATATCCTTGGGCGGTGTACGTTTTCTGCGATATATGTGGTAATATCATCCCCTTTGCCTTGGAATATTATGAAGGACCATCTCACATGGGGTTGTAGAACCCTTGCGATATTGGGAATATTATTATCCTCTTTCCCCTCTGCATATTTGGATAAATATCAGAGTGGGTGTACACCTCCTGCGATATGGGGATTAATATCCTTTTCTTTCTTTCTAGATATTAGAAACAATATCACACGGGGGTTTACACTTTCTTCCATATCTGGAGTAATGTCATCCTCTCCTGTTCTGAATGGCAAGAACAATATCTCAGGGGGGATGTACACCCCCTGCCATATTGGGGTAATATTACGCTGTCTCCCCCTTGATATTAGGAACAAAATCCCAGCGTGGGTGTACACCTCCTACTCTATGGAAAGTAATGCGGTCCTCTCCCTTCCTGCATTTTAGGGACAATATCACAGGATGGGTGTACACAGCCTGCGATATTGAAAGTAATATCATCCTCTCCCCCTCCGGATACTAGGAACAATATCACAGAAGGGTTGTACACTCTCTGCGGTATTGGGAGTAATATCATTTTCGGCTTCCCTGAATATCTCCGGGTGGATGTACACCCACTGTTATATTGGGAGTAATGTCCTACTCTACCCCCTGGATATTAGGAGCAATATCACATAGTGGGTGTACACCCACGGCGATATTGGGGGTAATCTCATGCTCTACCTCCCTGGATATTAGGAACAGTATCACAGGTGGGTGTACACCCCCTGCAGTACAGAGAATAATATTCTCTTCTCTTCCTTTAGCTCTTGAGAACAATATCACATGGGGGGGGGTGGTACATCGCCTGCACTATTGGGAGTAATATCATTCTCTCTTATTCTGGATAGTAGGAAAAATATCACAGGCGGGGTTTACAACCCCTGTGATATTGAGAGTAATGTCATCCTCTCCCAACGCGGATATTAGGAACCATATCACAGGGGGCGTGTACACTTCTTCGATATTGGTAGCAATATCATCCTCTCCTCCCCGGACATAAGAAACAATATGACAGGCTGGGTGCACCCCCGCCCCCTATATGGGGAGTAATATCCCTCCCTGGATATTAGGATCCACGGTGGACACACAGCGTGTTTACGATTTTGTGAGTAATATCATCTCCACCTCTAGAAATCACGAACAATATCAAAGACGGGTGTGCACCCTCTGCAATATAGGGAGGAATACCATCCTCTCCCCCCTGGATATTAGAAACAATATCAAAGGAGTGTTTATAACCCCTGCGATATTGGGAGTAATATCATCCTCTCCCACGTGGAAATTAGGAACGGTATCACTGGAGGCGTGTACACCCCCTGCGATATGGGAAAGTAATATCATCTTCTTCCCTCCTGGATCATGGGAACAATATCACTGGGGGGTGTACACTTTCTGCGATATCATCTTCTCTGCCTTGGACTGAGAAGGACATGAAGGACAGTATCACGGGCGGGTGGAGGGGGCGTGTACATCTTCTGCAATATTGGGAATAATATTATCCTCTCTCCCCCTGCATATTAGGAAAGATATCACAGAGTGGGTGTTCACCTCCTGCGATATGGGGATTAATATCATCTTCTCCCCTTCTGGATATCAGGAACAGTATCACACGGGGCTGTACACTTTCTGCGATATTGGGAGTGATATCAACCTCTCGGCCTTTGAATATTAAGAACAATATCACAGGGTGGATATACAGCCCCTGCCATATTGGGAGTAATATCTGCCTCTCCCCTCCATGGAGATTAGGAACAATATCCCAGGGTGGGTGTGCACCTCCTGCTCTATATCATCCTCTCCCTTCTAGGATATTAATAACAATATCACAGGGTGGGTGAACACCTCCCGCTCTATGGGGAATAATATCATCCTCTCCCTTCCAGGATATTAATAACAATTTCACAGGGTGGGTGAACACAGCCTGCGCTACTGGAATTATTATCATCCTCTCCCCCTCGGGATGCTAGGAACAATATCACAGAAGAGGTGTACACTCCCTGCGATATTGGGAGTAATATCATACGCTTCTTCCGTGAATATTAGGAGCAATATCACCAGGTGGCTGTACATTCATTGCTATGTTGGCAGTCATGTCATACTCTACCCCCTGTATATTAGGATCGATGTCACGGGGTGAGTGTACACCCACTGCGATATTAAAACTAAAATCATGCTCTGCATCCCTGGATATTAGGAACATTATCACAGGTAGGTGTACACCCCCTGCGGGATTAGGAGTAATAATATTATCAATTATTAAACATCAATTATCAATTTTAATAATAATTATCAATGTTAATATTAATTAATAGTATAAGATTATTAATTGATATTTTAAATATATCATCATGCACAATTAAAATTAATTATTGATATGAATGTCATTTATCAATAATATTGGTTATTAAACTTAATATTAATTGTTATTTTATTAGCAACATCACTTATTGATTTAATTAAGATTAATTACTGATATCATTACTTCATTATTAATAGTGACATTACTATTAATTATTAATACTAATCATTAATTTTTTAACCAGGATTAGTTTTTACTCCCTTCATTGTAATTATTATCGATGATTAGTATTAATTTTTATTATATATATTAATATTAATAATTAATATAACTTTTCCTGATATCTGGAGAGGATATTACTCCCGATATCACAGAAAGTGTACACCGCTCTATGATGTTCTTCCTAATAGCCAGGGGGTAGAGGATGACATTATTGAAAATATCGCAGTGGGTGTACATCCCTTCGGTCATCTTGTTCCTAATATCCTAGGTGGGAGAGGATGATATGACCCCCAATATCGCAGGGGGCGGAGACCTCCCCCCATGATATTGTCCCTAACATCCAAAGTTGGAGAGGATGATATTTCTTCTGATTTTGCAGGGGGTGTACACCACCCCTGTGATATTGTTCCTAATATCCAGGGGGTGAGAGGATGATATTAGTCTCACTATTGCAGGAGGTGTACACTCCCTAGTGATATTGTTCCTAATATCCAGGGACGGAGAGGATGATATCACTCCCAATATAGCAGGGGGTGTACACCCCTTCTGGGACATTGTTCCTAATAGCCAGCGGGGGAGAGGAAGACATTATCCCCAATATCGCAGGGGTGTACACCCCCTTGTGATACTGTTCCTTATATGCTGGCAGGGAGAGGATGATACTAGTGGCAATATCGCAGGGGGTGTACACACCCACTGTGATATTGTTCCGAATATCCCGAGGGGGAGAAGATGATATTACTCCCAATATCGCAGGGGGTGTACATCCTCCTGTGGTATTGTTTCTTATATTCAGGGGGAGAGGATGATATGACTCCCAATACCGCAGGGGTTGTACACACCTTCTGCGATATTGTTCCTAATATCCCGAAGGGGAGAGCATACTATTACTCTCCATATCGCAGGGGGTGTACACCTCCTTTGTAATATTGTTCTTGATATCCATGATGGGAGAGGATGATATTACTCCCAATATCGCAAGAAGTGTACACTGGGGTTTCACAGAAGGAAATCTCACCATGGGAACTTTTGCTACCTTCAGCATTCAGGCACCACTTGCTCCTGTGTTATTAGTTCGTTTTTATTTTTAAGAGATGGGGTCTCACTCTGTTTCCAGGCTAGAATGTAGTGATGATATCATGGCTCACCGCAGCCTCAAATTACTGGGCTCAAGCGATCCTCCTGCCTCAGCTTCCCCAGTAGTTGGAACTACAGATGAGCGCCACTACACACCATCAACTCTTCATTGCTACCGTAGGCCACGTGGCTCCACCTTCACTTCCTCCCACCTGAAACACTTGACCCATCTGTCTGCAATGCAGTGCACAATGTAGTAAGAGAGAGCCTTTACCTCCTTAATTTATTAGAATCTTTGGACCTGGGCTGTCTCTAAGCTGCTGTTCTATAAATGAGCCAACAATGGCCTGGGCGTATGGACCCATGGGGTTTTTTATTTCTTCCCTACAGATTCACATCTGTTAGCTCAAAAGCCCACTGCTGCCAAACTCAAATTTGTACACATCCAGTTATTTTAAAAATAGTCCCAACAATTAGACTGTTAGCCATTTAGAGCCTGCCTGCTTTGCATGCCCTGTGAAACCTCACAGGACAAGTGTTACCTATGGATGAGCTGGAGCCTTGAAATTCTAAGGCCCCCAAGCTGCTGCCACCCTTGGGAGCTCTCTGACCCAGAAACCCTGTGAGACACAACTAGACACGTAAGCCCCTCTTCCCTCCCCTTCTCCTCCAGAGTTCCGTTTCCCTCCTCCTCTCCCCTTCTAGCCATAAACCTTTACAGAACAAATATTTAACGTCATTTAACAAAATCCAAATAAAGGCTTCCATTAAGCTAGAAATATAAGCAATAACTATCACATCAAAGCCAACTCTCAGGAGCCAACAGCAAAATCATACTTTGTCAAAAATAAAATCAGATCAAATTTAAGAATTTTTAAGGTGAATGTGCATGCAAAAGAATAATTTATGAACATGGTTAAGAGGTAGCCCAGCAGTTACAGTGCAGCTTACAAAGCATGAATGAGGAGGCTCCTTCATCTCTATCATGCAAACAGAGCTGCACAAGCTTATTTGTGTTGGCTTAATGTTTTCAGGTTGGCAAGGAAGAAAAGCTTAATTTTTATTTGTGATTAGAACCAGCATTTGAGGGGAAATCAGGATCAATTCTGTTTCAGTTACATGGCCATAGCTAGTCGGCTCAGGGCCTCTTTCCCTTCCTTCCTTCCTTCCTTCCTTCCTTCCTTCCTTCCTTCCTTCCTTCCTTCCTTCTCTCTCTCTCTCTCTCTTTCTTTCTTTCTCTTTCTTTCTTTGTTCTTTCTTTCGACAGGGTCTTATACTCCAGGCTGGAGTGCAATGGCGCGATCTCAGCTCACTGCAACCTCTGCCTCTTGGGTTCAAGTGATTCTCATGCCTCAGCTTCCGGAGTATCTGGGATTACAGGCGTACACCACCACACAAGGCTAATTTTTTTGTACTTTTTGTAGAGAGGGGGTTTCACCATGTTGGCGAAGTGATCCACCTACCTCGGCCTCCCAAAGTGCTGGGATTACGGGTGTGAGCCACCACACCTGGTCATCTATTTTCCTGTTTCTTTTTAACAACTGCCCAATTTGGGTCATTCTCTCAGTCGGACTCAGAGTGTGACCCACTGCTTAGCGCTACACTCGGTTTCCACATGTCTTTGTCTCCATGGCCGTCTGAAGACTGTGAAGCAGAGTTTCAGTAGGCTTTTTTCTTTTTTTGACAATTCCAACTGAAGCAGTTTTTGTTCCTCCATCCTCCTGAGATCATGTGATGAGTCAGTGGCTGCTCACAAGCATTTAAGACTCTTGAGAGAAGCAACATATAGGAAATGTTATCAGTAGGACTAATGACAGGATAATGCCAAGAGTTTGGAAAGTACCCTGAAACTAGGGTCCCCAAGAGCCGAGATTTAATCTCTTGATTTAACTAGATCAGTCGACGGTATTTCCCACGTCTGGTGGAGCACCTGGACCTGGCCTTTTATATTTCTAAAGATCCCAGATTTGGGCATCTATTCCTGATGTATTCATATAGAAATAGCATTTGTTTTTTCTTCTTCTGGTGTGGCAGTTTCAATCCGATGGGTGTTCCCGGCTTGCAGCTTGGATGTCTCTGGTGATATCATCAGGTTTCTGGTGAACTTTCTGTGTGGCCAACACAGCCTCAGGCACCAAGGTTGTCCAGGTATAAACTGTTGTAGCAATTTCTCTGAAGTCTCTATGAAGTCATCCAGCTCCCATTCACAGGGCTGTAAGGCTAAGAACAACCCCAGTTTAATGGGTTCAACAGTGTGATTTAAAAGTTATCAGACACCTGTGCTTGAGTCTTTTTTTTATGAATCTCTTGAAGTTTTGTGTCATAGCGATTTGCAAGTGCTTTCAGGAAAGCATCAGAGTAAATGATAACTGCTTGGTGGATGAAAAAAAAATTAAAATGGCCATGGTTAATGATCTCATGAGAGTTCATCTGAATTTTCATAAGAAAATTTAGTTATTCATGCGGTATATGACATTTTAAGATAACTGGAATTAAAGCTGATAACATTATACCAGGATATATCAGATTTCTAGGAATTTCATACAATTTCTGGAACACTTATATTAATAACATATAGCTATACAAACATAACATGATACTATATAACAAATAGCATCCTTTCTTATTTGATAACATAAAACATAAAAGTATAAAATACCAGAAGAAAATGTAGGACATTTTTATAATGTTGGATGAATAAAGGCCTTTCTTAGCATGGCATGAAATCCAGGTACCTAAAGGAAAATGTCTATGTCACATTTTAAAACTCTGAATAGAAAAAAAAAAAAACTACAAGGAAAGTAAAATGGCAAATGACTGACTGAAGAATATATTTGCAGTACATGTGACAGACCGTGGGTTAATATGCATCATATGTAAAGAGTGTCTACAAATTAACAAGAAAAGTATAGGCAGACAGAAAGAAAATGGACCACAGATCTGAAAAGGTGTGAGGTGTGGTAGGGCATGGTCAGGCTTGCTGCACTGAAACCTCAAGTGGGTGCGATGGTGCAGTAAGTAGTGGGATGTGGTGGGATGTACCTGTGATATAGAAGCATTCCCTTATATGTCACAAGAACGAATCTTTTTTTTTTTTTTGAGATGGAGTCTCGCTCTGTCACTCAGGTTGGAGTGCAGTGGCGTGATCTTGGCTCACTGCAACCTCCGCCTCCCGGGTTCAAGTGATTCTCCTGCTTTAGCCTCCCAAGTATTTGGGATTACAGGCACACACCACCACACTCGGCTAATGTTTTTATATTTTTGGTAGAGATAGGGTTTCACCATGTTGGTCAGGCTGGTCTTGAACTCTTGACCTCAAGTGATCCACCCCCCTCAGCCTCCCAAAGTGCTGGGATTACAGGTGTGAGCCACTGCACCCAGCCCAAGAATGAATCTTGAATGCCGATCAACCCTTGACCCCAAACTAAAATATTGTAAAACCACAAGTTCTGGCTTGCTCTGATCTCCTCTGAAATAATGGATTCTTCACTCCGTAGGGGCTGCTGAGAGCACTACACTTCTGGCAACCTCCTCAGGAAACCAAGGGAGATAGGCAAGCTACACTCCCTTCCTGGCATGCTTGATTTTGCCAAGTACAAGTGCAGGCAATGACATCAAATGTTTCACCTCTCAGACGGCAAAAATGCAAATGATTGAGCACCTCGAATTTTGATGACAGTGTAGTGCAAAAGGCCTGTCCACACGTTACTGATAGACATGAGAATCTGGCAATATCTATAGATATTTTGAATGCGAATCCTCTATCAGCAGAATGGCATGTGGATTAGCTTGAGAAACTAGAGACTAACACATCTATGTCCTTCTCAGCCCAATTAGACAGAATCGAGTCATTTTAACCTTAGGGACTGCACTAAGAGTGCCAGTTACAGGATTTATTGCTAATGATTTATAGGGCTCCAAATGACAGTGCTTACAAATCTATAGATTCTTGAAGAGAAAGGAGCACTCTACAGCTAACATTAAAGTCAGGATGTGTGCAGGGCATGGTGGTGCATACCTGTAATCTCAGCACTTTGGGGAGCTGAGGTGGGAGGATTGCTTGAGACCAGGAGTTCGAGACCAGCCTGAGCAACAGAATGAGATTCCCATTGCTACAAAAAATTTAAAAATTAACTAGGCCTGGGCTGAGTGCAGTGGCTCACGCCTGTAATCCCAGCACTTTAGGAGGCTGAGGCAGGTGGATCACCTGAGGTCAGGAGTTTGAGACCAGCCTGGCATACGTGATGAAACCCCATCTCTACTAAGAATACAAAAAATTAGCTGGGTGTGGTGGTGCACACCTGCAATCCCAGCTACTTGGGAGGCTGAGGCAGGAGAATTGCTTGAACCCAGGCGGCAGAGGTTTCCGTGAGCTGAGATCATGCCATTGCACTCCAGCCTGGGTGACAGAGGAAGACTCTGTCTCAAGAAAAACAAAACAAAACAAAACAAACAAACAAACAAAAACTAGGTGTGGTGGCACACCCCTGTAGTCCTAGCTACCCAGGAGGCTGAGGTGGGAGGACGCTTAAACCTAAGAGTTGGAGGCGTCAATGAGATATGATCATGCCACTGGACTCCACTGTGCAACAGAGACCAAAGAAAAAAAAAAGAAGAAGATGTGCATCACAGCTATGGCCAGCTCACAGCAAGGGGTCTGGCAGGGCCGGTTTGGGTTTCTATTGTCCTCTCTACTGTATGGTCATGGCAAAATGCACTTCCTCTTTCAGATACAGAACCCTTGGCAGGTGCACAGAGCACCACAGAACTAAGGGGCCCAAAAGAGAGTCTCGGCTGGGGTTTTTTATGTTTCACAGGTCACATACACAAATTCCTGTTACATAACTAGCTTCTGCAGCACAGCTCTCTGGGGGTCTCACCAGGAGAAAATCAGTCTTACTGTTATCAATAAACAATGCTGACAAGTTGGTACAAACCACGCCAAACTCCTCCTTGCCCCCCTGCCTACAAAGCGACACTATTCACCGGCTTTCCTGCCTTGGGCAACATCAGTGCCAGGCAGCAAGTTTAGTACAACCGCTCAGTTTCATTCTAGACATGCTGCAATTCACCCTCAGAGCACAGGAACTAAACAAGGAAGAGGTGTGTTTATTGGGTTTTTGGGCAAAAAAGGAAAGATAAATGCAACTGATTTGTCCCTTCCCACGGTTCCGCATCCCTCATTCCAAATGCAGTACTCACGTTCCGGGCCCGCCCCCTCAGGATGGAGCTCTCAGGGTCATGAATCGGCATTGGACCTCCATGTTCGGTGGTGTGGCTTGTTTTTACAGGTTACTTAATAGGATCCAGGTTGGGTTACGAGCAACCTATAAATAAACCAGATGCGCTCCACAGAGCCCCAGACCCAGGCCAGCTCTTCTGCTGATCATATGCTACCTATCACACGCGCACACTCTGTTTATATCTACCAGACACAGGCCTGCCAAGGCTGTTCCATCAGGACAGAGGAATGGTGGATATCTTTTATACTTTGCCCATCATAATTTTCTTCCTGGAAGTGTGGGTGCACCTCCTTTGCAGAGGTGGGTGCCTGACTCAGCCGGCCTATCCCATGAGTGGATTGCAGAGGTTCACAAACCATTTGGACCTAGCCACTTGGTAATTGAACTGTTCAGTATTTCTGTGACCTAGGGAAGCTGTGAAAAAAATTGCTGAAACACTAAGGCTCTCAGACACTAACTGCAGAACCTCTGCCATGCTGGTGCTTTGGGCAGAGCCATTCCCAGGACTTCTGTGGGAGAAATAGGTAGGAAAGATGGACGCCCTTCCCTCTGGGGCTGCTAGTTAAAGGACAAGGCAAATCTAGATCTCTGATGGTCATCTTTTCCATGTTGTACAAAGGTCATTCCTGGGAAAGAAACCCACGTGGAGGAAAGCAGACCTGAGAGAGACAGGAGTCCTAGGCCAGGCACGGTGGCTCATGACTGTGATCCTAGCACTTTGGGAGGCCAAGGTGGGGGCG